>NC_000005.10:175761324-175911769 GCF_000001405.40 Homo sapiens
CTGCAGGGGTGGAACCCTCATGGAGAACCTCTGCTGGGGCAGTGCAGAAGGGAAATGTGGGGTATGAGCCCCCACACAGAGTCCCCACTGCAACACTGCCTACTGGGTCTGTGAGAAGAGGGCCACCATCCTCCAGACCCCAGAATGGTATATCCACCAACAGCTTGCACCATGCACCTGGAAAAGCCACAGACACTGAATGCCAGCCCATGAAAGCAGCTGGAAGGGGGGCTGTACCCTGCAAAGCCACAGAGCTGAGCTGCCCAAGGCCATGGGAGCCCACCTCTTGCATCAGCATGACCTGGATGTGAGAGACATGGAATCAAAGGAGATTATTTTGGAGCTTTAAGGTTTAATGACTGCCCTATTGGATTTTGGACTTGCATGGGCCCTGTAACCCCTTTGTTTTGGCCAATTTCTCCCATTTGGAGCATGTGTTTTTGCCCAATGCCTGTACCCCCATTGTATGTAGGAAGTAACTAACTTGCTTACTTGCTTTCATTTTTACAGGCTCATAGGTGGAAGAGACTTGCCTTGGCTCAGATGAGACTTTGGACTTGGACTTGGTTTTTTTTTTGTTTTTTTTTTTTTTTGAGAAGGAGTCTTGCTCTTTCACCAGGCTGGAGTACAGTGGCGCAGTCTCAGCTCACTGTGGCCTCTGCCTCCTGGGTTCAAGCAATTCTCCTGCCTCAGCCTCCCAAGTAGCTGGGACTACAGGCGTACGCCACCATGCCCAGCTAATGTTTGTATTTTTAGTAGAGATGAGGTTTGACCATGTTGGCCAGGGTGGTCTCCATCTCTTGATCTCATGATCCACCCGCCTTGGCCTCCCCAAATGCTGGGATTACAGGCATGAGCCACTGAGCCCAGCCTGGAATTAAACTTTTGAGTTAATGCTGGAATGAGTTAACACTTGGGGGGACTGTTGGAAGGGCATGATTGTGTTTTGAAATGTGAGGACATGAGATTTTGGAGGGGCCAGGGATGGAATAATATGGTTTGGCTGTGTCCCCACCCAAATCTCATCTTGAATTGTAGTTCCCATAATCCCTACATATCATGGAAGGGACCCATTGGGAGGTAATTGAATCAGGGGGGTGTTTACCCTCATTCTGTTCTCATGATAGTGAGTGAGTTTTCATGAGATCTGATGGTTCTATAAGGGACCTTTCCCCCCTTTGCTCACACTTCTCCTTCCTGTCACCATGAAAAAGGAGGTGTTTGCTTCCCCTTCTGTCATAATTGTAAGTTTCCTAAGGCCTCCCCAACCATGCTGAACTGAGTCAATTAAACTTCGTTCCTTTATAAGTTACCCAATCTCAGGTATGTCTTTTTTTAGCAGCATGAGAACAGACTAATACACAGTGCTAAGAGAGAAATTTACAGCACAAAATGCGTCCATTAGAAAGAAAGGAGAGTATCAAATGAGTAATTGAAGGTTCCACCTCAAGGACAGAAAAATGGTAGTGAAATAAACCCAAAACAAGCAGAGAAAAGGAAATAATAAAAATAACAGAAATCAATGAAATTGAAAACAATGAAATAATAAAGAAAAATCAAAGAACTTATTCTTGAAAAGATCGATAAAACTGACAAACCTCTGGCAAGGCTAACAAAGGGAAGAAAAAAGAGAGAACACAAATTACTAATATCAAGAATGAAACCAGGGAGATCTCTACAGACCCTGTAGACATCAAAAGGATAATAAGGGACTACTACAACAACTCTACACACATAAATTTGACAACTTAGTAAAATGGATCGATTTTTTGAAAAGCACAAACTACCCTCATATCACCAAATAAGAAACTGATTATTTGGATAGCCCTATTAAAAACATTGAATTCATAATTTTAAATCTTCCAAAAAAGAAATCTTCACACCCAGATGGCCTCACTGGAGTTCTACCAAACATTAAAAGAAGTAACACCAATTCTGCACAATCTCTTCCAGAAAACAGAAAAGGAGGAAACACTTCTCAGTTTATTTTATGAAGCTAGTATTACCCTGATACAAAAATCAAAGATAAACATAGTATCAAAAAAAGAAAAGTTCTAGAACTACAGACTAATATCCCTCATGCATATAGACACAAAAATCCTTAACAGAATATTAGCAAATAGAATTTGCAATACATAAAAATATTATACACCATGACCAAATACTGTTTCAACATTTGAAAATCAATAAATGCAACCCGCTGTATGAACAAACTAAAGAAGATAAATCATTTGATATATTAATTGATGTAAAAAAAGCATTTGACAAAATTTAACATCCACATATGATCAAAACTGTCAGAAAAATAGGATTGTAGAAGAACTTCCTCCGTTTGATCAAAACATCTACACAAAAATCTATAATTAACATTAAACCTAATAGTGAACAGCTATTGGGATGGGCACACTAGCTCACTCCTGTATTCCCAGCACTTTGAGAGGCTGAAGCGGGAGGATCACTTGAGGTCACCAGTTCAAGACCAGCCTGGCCAACATGGTGAAACCCCATCTCTACTAAAAATACAAAACTTAGCCAGGCACGGTGGCAAGTGCCAGTGATCCCAGCTACTTGGGAGGCTGAGGCAGGAGAACCACGTGAGCCTGGGAGGCAGAGGTTGCAGTGAGCCAAGATTACACTACTGCACTCCAGCCTGGGTGACAGAGTAAGACTCTGTATCAAAAAATAAAACAACAAAAACAAAAAAACCTATTGTATGTTTTCCTCCTAAGATCAGGAACAAGGCAAGGAAGGATGTCTGATATCATCACTCTTATTCAACATACTGCTGGAAATTCTAGTGTCAGTGCAATAAAGAAAGAAAATTAAATAAAAAGCTTATGGACCAGAAAGGAATAAATAAAACTATCAGTATTTACAGATGATATCACTGTATATGTAGAAATTTCAAAGGAATCTTAAAAAAAAACAAAAACAAAAAACAAGGTTTTTTTCCTGATCTTAGGGGGAAAACATACAATGGTTTTTCACTGTTAGGTTTAATATTAGTTATAGATTTTGTGTCAATGTTTTGATCAAGTTGAAGAAGTTCTTCTCCATTCCTATTTTTCTGAGAGTTTTAATAAGTTAGTTTAGCAAGATTACAAGACAAGATAAACATATAAAAATCAATTGTATTTCTATATACTAGCAATGCACACCTTGATGCTGAAATTTAAAATACATTACCATTTAATATCACTTGAAAAGAGAGAAATTCTTAAGTATAAATCAAAAAACACATGTACAGGACTTGCATGCTGAAAACCATTAAATGCTGATGAAAGAAATTAAAGAAGATCTCAATAAATGGAAAGACATACTATGTTCATTTGAAGACTTGACATAGTAATTATAGTCAATTATCCCCACAACTGGTACTCATGTTTAACACAATTATTATCAAAATCCAAGCAATGATTTTTGTAAATATAGACAAGATTATTCTAAAATTTATATGGAACGGTAAAGGAACTAGAATAGCTAATGCATTTTTTAAAAATAAGAGTAAAGTGAGAGGAATTAGTCTACCTGAATTAGAAACTTATTATATAGCTGCATGAATCAAGACCTTGTGATATTGGTGGAGGGCCAGACAATAGAACAATGGAACACAGTAGAGAACCCAGAAATAGACTCACATAAATACATCCAACTGATTTTTAACAAAAGTGCGAGAGCAATTCAATACATTTCAACAAATGCTGCTGAAGCAATTAGACATCCGTATACCAAAAAAAAAGAACCTTGACCTAAACCTCACATCTTATCAAAACCTAATTCAAAATGGACCACAGACATAAATGTAAAAAAAAAAAAAAAAACTATAAATACCTTTGGAAAAAAATGGGAGAAAACTTTCAGGGTCTGGAGCTAGGCAAAGGGTTCTCAGGCTTCTTGACATCAAAACTCCAATTCATAAAAGAAAAAAACGCTAAATTGGACCTTATTAAAACTTTAAAAGTTTTCCTCTGTGAAAGACCCTGTTAATAGAATGAAAAGACAAGCTACAGACTAGGAGAAAATATTGCAAACCATGTACCCAACAAAGGACTAGTATCTAGAAACAATAATTTTACATTTAAAATTAATTGAATATTTAAAATTAAATATTTAATATTTATATATGTATATATCAGAACATCTCAAATTCACAATACTAAGTAAGAGAAGCCAGACTCAAAAAGGTTTCATACTGCATGATTCCATTTATATAATTTTCTGGAAAAAGCAAAACTCTATGTAAGGTTAGAAAACAGATCAGCATTGCTGGCAGTGGGGCTAAGAGGCATAAGGCAATGTTTGTGTATGAGGAGGAGGTGTTGGAATTGTTTTATATATTGATGTAGTAGTAATGGTTACCTAACTGTATGTATTTGTCAAAATTCATAGAACTGTATGCCTTAAAAGGGTATATCTTATTGCATGTAAATTTTATCTCAATAAACCTAACATAAGCAAAACCTCTTGGAGCTTAACAGTAAGATAATGAACAATTCAATTAGAAAATAGTCAAAAGACATTGTAGCCATTCTCACACTGCTATCAAGAAATACCTGAGACTGGGTAATTTATAAAGAAAAGAGATTTAATTGGGTCACAGTTCTGCAGGCCGTACAGGAAGCATGACAGCTTCTGGGGAGTCCTCAGGAAACTGTGAATCATGGCAAAAATGAGGGGAAGTGGGCACATCTTACACAGCTGGAGCAGGAAAAAGAAAGAGAGGGGAGAGGTGCCACGCACTTAAGCAACCAGATCTCGTGAGAACTCTGTCACAATACAGCACTAGGGGGATGGTGCTAAACTATTAGAAACTGCCCCCATGATCCAATCACCTCCCACCAGACCCCACCTTTAGCATGGGGATTACAATTCAACATGAGATTTGGGTGAGGACATAGATCCAAACCAAATCATTTTGCCCCTGGCCCCTCCCAAATCTCATGTCCTTCTCACATTCCAAAATACAATCATGACTTTCTAACAGTCCTTCAAAGTCTTAACTCATTCCAGCATTAACTCAAAATTCCAAAGTCCAAAGTCTCATCTGAGACAAGGCTAATCCCTTCCACCTATCCGTCTGTAAAATCAAAAACAAGTTAGTTACTCCCAAGATACAATGAGGGTACAGGCATTGGGTAAATACTGCCACTCCATAAAGGAGAAATCAGCCAAAAGAAAGAGGATACAGGCCCCATGCAAGTCTGAAATCCAGCAGGGCAGTCATTAAATCTTAAAGCTCCAAAATAACCTCCTTTGAATCCATGTCTCACATCCAAGGCACACTGGTGTGAAGGTGGGCTCCCAAGACCTTAGGCATCTCTGCCCCCATGGATCTACAGAGCTCAGCCCCCATGGCTGCTCTCAAGGGCTGGTATTGAGTGCCTGTGGCTTTTCCAGGTACACAGTACAAGCTGTTGGTGGATCTACCATTCTGGGCTCTGGAGGATAGTGACCCTCTTCTCACAGCTCCAGTAGGTAGTGCCCCAGTGGGCACTCTGTGGGGGTTCCAATCCCACATTTTCCCTCTGTACGGCCCTCATAGAGGTTCTCCATGAGGGCTCTGCCCCTGCAGCAGGCTTCTTGGACATCTAGGCTTTTCCATACATCCTCTGAAATCTAGGAGGAGGCTCCCAAGCCTCAACTCTTGCACTGTGCGCACTGGCAGGCTTAACACCACATGGAAGCCACCAAGGCTTACAGTTTGCACCCTCTGAAGCAGCAGCCCAAGCTGTATCTGGGGCCCTTTTAGCCACAGCTGGAGCTGGAGTGGCTGAGATGCAGGGAGCAGTGTCCTGAGGCTGCACAGGCCCTGGTCCTGGCCCACAGAACCATTCTTTCCTTCTAGGCCTCCGGGCCTGTGATGGGAGGGACTTCCTCAAAGGTCTCTGAAATGCCTTGAAGGCCTTTTCCCATTGTCTCAGCTATAAGCATTTGGCTCCTCTTTACTTATGCAAATTTCTGCAGCCTGCTTAAATTCTTCCCCTGAAAATGGCCTTTTCTTTTCTTTTTTTTAAATTTTTTTGAGACAGAGTCTCACTGCAATGCCCAGGCTGGAATGCAATGGTGCTATTTTGGCTCACTGCAACTTCCACCTCCCAGGTTCAAGTGATTCTCCTGCCTCAGCCTCCTGAATAGCTGCAATTACAGGCATGCACCATTATGCCCTGCTAGTTTTTGTATTTTTAGTAGACACAGGGTTTCACCACGTTTGCCAGGCTGGTCTCAAGCTCCTGATCTCAGGTGATTTGCCCTCCTCGGCCTCCCAAAGTGCTGGGATTACAGGCGTGAGCCACTGTGCCAGGTTGGCTTTTTCTTTTCTATCACATGGCCAGGCTGCAAATTTTCAATTTTCTAAACTTTTATGCTCTGCTTCCCTTTTAAATATAAGTTCCAGTTTCAGGTCATTTCTTTGCTCACACACATGATCATATGCTGTTAGAAGTGGCCAGGCCACAACTTGAATGCTTTGCTGCTTAGAAATTTCTTCCACCAGATACCCTAAATCATCACTCTCAAGTTCAAAGTTCCATAGCTTCCTAGAACAGGGGCATAATGCCACCTGATTATTTGCTAACACCTAACAAAAGTGACCTTTACTCCAGTTCCCAATAAGTTCCTCATTTCCTTCTGATATCTCCTCAGCCTAGCCTTCACTGTCCATATTGCTATCAACATTTTGGTCACAGCAATTTAACAAGTCTCTAGGAAGTTCCAAACTTTCCCTCATCTTCCTGTCTTCTTCTGGGCCTTTCACACTCAGCCTCTGCCTTGTACCCAATTCCAAAGGTGCTTCCACATTTTCAGGTATATTTATACCAATACCCCACTCCTGCTACCAATTTTCTGTATTAGTCTGTTCTCATGTTGCTCTAAAGAAATACCTGGGACTGGGTAATTTATAAAGAAAAGACACTTAATTGGGTCATGGTTCTGCAGGCTGTACAGGAAGCCTGACAACTTCTGGGGAGGCCTCAGGAAACTTGCAACCATGGAGGAAAATGAAGGGGAAGCAGACACATCTTACATGGCTGGAGCAAGAGAAAGAGAGAGAGGGGAGAGGTGCCACACACTTTTAAACAACTGGATCTCGTGAGAACTCTATCATGAGATAGCACTAGAGGGATGATAATAAACCATTAGAAATGGCCCCCATGATCTAATCACCTCCTGCCAGTCCCCACCTTTAACACTGGTGACTATAATTCAACATGAGATTTGGGGTAGGGCCATATATCCAAACCATATCAGACATGAAGAGACATTTCACCAAAGAAGGTATACAGATGGCAAATAAACACACGAAACAATGTTCAGCATCATTAGCCATCTAAGAAATGCAAATTAAAAGCATAATGAGATATTACTATGTACTGATCAGAATGGCTAAAATTAAAAATGCTAACAATATGAAATGCTGGTGAGGGTGCAGTGAAACTGGATAAATCTTATATTGCTGTCAGAATTGTAAAATGACGCTACCACTTTGGAAATCAGTTTGGCAATTTCTAAAACTAAACATACAACTACTATACGATCCAGGAATCACACTCCTGGGCATTTATCCCAGAGATATTAAAACTTTTGTTTACACAAACATCTGTAGATGATTATTTATAGCTGCTTTGTTTATAATAGTCAAAAACTGGAACCAACCCAGATATTCTTCAGTGGGTGAATGGTTGAACACACTGTGGCAGATCCACACCACAGAAAGCTGCTCAGTAATCAAAAGAACCACCTATGATATACACAACAACCTGGATGAATCTCAAGATAATTTTGCTGAGTGAAAAAAGTCAATCCTAAAATATTTCATACTGTATGATCCAATTTATTTGACATCTTTGGAATAACAAAATTTCTAAATGGAGAACAGTTTAGTGATTGCCAAGGGTTAATGGATAGTGAGGGTAGGAAGAGAGTGGGCACGGCTATGAAAGAGTGACAGGAGGGATCGCCTGGTGATGGAATATTAGTAACTTGACTGTACATTTCCATATCCTAGTTCTGATATAGTATTATAATTTTGCAAGATGTTACCATTCGAGAAACTAGTTAAAGGGTACATGGGATCTCTCTGTACTGTTTCTTACAAGTGAATGTGAATCTACAATTATCTCAGAATAGAAAGTTTCACTAAAAATAATAATCTAATTGTTTGCAGCATTGCTTGTATTTGGGGTGGTGGGGGGACCTGGAAACAGCCTAAATGTCCATCAGCACAGGAATAGTTGACTATAATGTTAGTTTCATAAAATGGAACGTTGTGCAGAGCCAAAGAAAAAAAGCATCTTTGATTTGAAAATCTATGTTGCAGAACTCTTTATGCAGCATGATACCATTTCTACCAAAATGCACACACAGTGTGGCTCTTGTGTAAATGCCTACACCACGTGTTCCCAGTGATGGAGAGACGGCCTCCAAGAGGTCGAAAATCGATTCTTGAGGGGCTAAATAATCTTATCTTTCTTGTGTCTAAAGCGCAGATATACATAGAGTACACCAGCATATATGCGATTTATCTGT
The DNA here is from genome assembly GCF_000001405.40 of Homo sapiens. Classification (NCBI taxonomy): domain Eukaryota; kingdom Metazoa; phylum Chordata; class Mammalia; order Primates; family Hominidae; genus Homo; species Homo sapiens. The sequence goes on from NC_000005.10 coordinate 175,769,851, forward strand.
AACATTACTACACTTATGGTGGGGGAGGATTAGGGGAAAAATATCTTTAAAAGCTCCTTAGGAGAGGGATAGTGGGGGGAAAAAAACCAGAAAGGTTAAGAACCCCTGGCCTATCCCAGAATTCCTCAACTTCAGCATTGTGGGTATTTTGGGCTAGAAAATTATTCACGGCAGGGGCTGTCCGGTGCACTGTAGGATGTTTAGCAGCATCCTTAGCCTCTACCGTAGATGCCAGTGGCACCAACCCTCAGCTGTGATGATCAAATATGTCTCCAAGGCACTGCCAAATGTCCCTGGAGGGCACGGTGGCCCCCGGTTGAGAACTACTAGACAGATGACTGGAAATCATTCAACAAACCCCAGCCACGGGGCATCAGGAGTGATGGATCCATTGTGTTTTCATTTTTGACAGGGAGAATATATTCAGGGCTTACTTGTGTCATTAAAAATTAATTTTTCAAAAATGGCTCTCACTGGGAAATGCAGTCCTGGAGAGGAGAAGAGGCCCAGCCAAACCCTAAGGCTCCAAACTTTAATCCCAGCCCTGCCCCTGCTTGCTCTAGGACCACCAGCCAGCCTCCCTGCCATGGGCCTCTGTTTCCCCCTCTTGCACACACAGCCCACGCTGACACTTTCCACTACCCCTCCACAGTCTCTGCTTCTCTCCCACACCTCCATGCTCAGGCAGCTATCAGGAACGCTGTCTGCCTCTCCACCTCTCCAGGGCCTGGAAAACTCTGGCTCATGCCTGGACTCCAATGTCCTACCCTTCAGGAAGTCCTCGTTATCTCCCACCAGCGTGCAAGCAGCCCTGGCTGTGACCCCACAAGCTCTTGGGCATCCCTGTGCACAAACGTGCACCCTGCCCACTGGTGTCTAGAGACCATGGTGAATATTTGCCATTTATCGTCTTCCTCATCCACTCCTCTCCACCCGGCTCTCAGCCAGACTCCTTTGCCCTCTGACCTCTGGTTGGCTAAATAAACGTTAGGCACCAGCGAAGGATCAGGGAGCAGGGAGGACAAGGAGGCAGGCATTTAGTCTCCTGCTTCCCCTCTTCCGGGCCCCCCTTTGGTAGTGCCTGGGTCCCTCTTCCTCTGGCCACAGCTCTTGCAGGGTTTCAGCAGCTGCTCCTTCTTCTGGTCCCTTGAGACCTAGGGTAGTAACATCTTCCTGTATGCACATTCATCTCCTTAGTTCCTTGACCTGGTCTACATCTTGTAAATGCTCCCTTCACTTAATCCTGATACCCTTCTTGAAGAGTTCCCAACAGGGTCCTGATCTGATCCACATGTCCCAACTCAAACGCAAGCAACTTGAGCAAACGTGCGTACGAGAGCTGCATGTTGCTGTTTTGTTCTGTTTTGAATCTCAGCAACCCCAGGGGCCAACATGGATGGGACCCAGAACATGGGCAGAGCTCAACAAATAAGCAGATGAATGAATAAAGAATAGATGGATGGGTGGATGGATTGGTGGAGGGATGCACAGACCCTGCTTTTGCAAACATGAATAACAGCTGAAATCCCTTGAGTGCTCACTGCTTATTGGGCACAATGCCAAGTCCTTTATATATATATTCACAGTAAAGGTAAAAAACAAACTGTTTTTTTCCGTCTACTCAAACTCAATACAACACTCAGCACAGAAACACTTCGCCTCTAGTCACCAAAAGGTGTGTGAGTTTTCTTCCCACTGACATGTAATTCTCCAGCAGACACTGACTGGCTGTCCTACAATTTAACTCATTTCTAACACTAACTACCTGGAATTAGTGTCAGATTCTGCAGGATGAGGGCTCAGTCCCATGAGACTGCCCCTACCTTCAGACATCAATCAAAAGTAGTAAGTTGTCATCTATACTTCTGACCAACTGGCTATAAATCAAAGTTCCCACAACCCCCTCCCTGGGTTCAATTAATAAATCAAGGTTCCCTCAACCCCCTCCTTGGGTTCAATTAATTTGCCAGGGCAGCTTGCAGAACTCAAGGAAACACTTTATATACATTGGCCCATTTATCATAAAGGGTATTAGAAAGGTTACAGCTGAACAGCCAGATGGAAGAGATGCATGGGGCAAGGTATGGAAGGGGTGCGAGGCTTCCATGCCCTCTCCACCATGCCACCCTCCTGGCACCTCTGCATTGTACAAGCAGCAATCCAGAGGCTCTCTGAACCTTGTCCTTTGAAGTTTTTATGGAAGCTTCTTGACATAGGCATGGCTGATTAAATCATTGGCCATTGGTGATCGATTCAGCTTTCAGTTCCCCTCTCCTCCTTAGAGGTCAAAGGTGAGGCTGAAAGTTCCCACCCTCTACTGACAGCGTTGGTTCCCTGGAAACCAGCCCTCATCCTGAGGCTGTCCAGGAGCCCACCAAGAGTTGCCTCAATAGAACAAAAGATGCTCCTATTACCCAGAAAATTCCAAGGGATTAGGAGCTCTGTGTCAGGAACTGGGATCAAAGACCAAATATCAGAACCAAAGATCCTCCTATCACCCCTGTCCACGAGGATTTCAGGAGCTCTATGTCAGGAATAGGGGGGCAGAGACACAATATCACTTTCACCCAATCTTCATAACCAGTCTGAAGCAGGAGTATTATCATGAAAAAAGAGACACTCATAATGGTTAGGTCACTTGCTCCAGGACACAGTTAGGAAGTGACAAGGCCAGGACTCATCAGTACCACTGGCCTCCAGAGTTTGCAGTTCTGATAACACAAAGATGTGGCTAAATGACTCCAGGACCCCACGGTCCAGCTCCGCCAGCAGGGGTTCCCTCCCGGGCCTCTCCTCTCCCAAGGGCCTATCCATGCCCTCTAGGCCCTGCGTGGACTTAGTCCTGGTCACAGTGGGCACAGCTTCGGCACACTTCCCTCCGAGGCCACACCCCACCCCGCCCCTCCACCCTAGAATCGGAGGACGCTGGGGTTGCAAGTGGGAGGCCCAGGGAGGCGCCAAGCCCCTCCCGCTCCAAGCCGACGCGCCCTGTTTTATGCCTTGAGTAGGCGGGAGCCTTGCAGGTCTGTGGGTTTCTTTCTCAAAGGAAAATTGCTGGGCTCGTGAGGAACAGCCTCGGGCACTTGCTCTACTTGGAAAGGGTGAAGAGCGCGGGCTTTGGAACCCTAGGCGCGCCCGCAATCCCAGCTCTGGGTGTGGCGCGGGACACCTCCTGCTGAGGGCTGGTAAACCCAGACTTCTCTGCGTCCTTGCTGCACGCGAGGAGCAAATGGAACAGCACAAGCTGCCCGCAGCCCGCACCATCGCTCCCTCGTGAGACCTGGTTCACCTTCTCGCAGTTTCCCAAACACTCCTGCAGATCCATGTGATTTGCCCATCTCTGTGAGGATTGCCAGTCTTTCTTCCCATTTGGCAAATTAGGAAATCGAAGCCCTTCAGAGCCCTGTCGAGGTCATGCGCGGCAGGGCAGAGGCAGAGCTGGGTCGAAACCCGGGCAGTCTCCGCCGCTCCCGGCCCCGCTTCCCCCGCGCCGTGGGCTCCGCGGGGTGGCTTTGTTGGGGCAGCAGCAGGCAGGATTTATTTCCGGCGTTGTTTATGCGCAGCACGTCTGGAACAGGGCCCTTGGTGATTAAAACGCCTCGGGACAGAAAAGCCGAACTGAAACATTGGTGAAAATACAAAAAGGAAAACAAAACAGCGGCATCGACAGGGACATCTCCAGGCGGACGCGCAGGAGCGCCGCTAAGGACAGCACCTGGTCCCGAGGCTTGGGGGTAGCTGCTTCACCTTGGGCCTGACCACCTCCTGGATTCCAGTCACCCTGGGACCAAGCCAATCATCATCATTATTAACAGCAGCAGCAGCATCCCTTGCCATTTGGGGGTCAGGCACACCTGGCTTACACCCCAGGTCTGCCAGTTCTGGCTGTGTGACCTTGGACAGGTGAATTAACCTCTCTGAGCTGCAGCGTACTGGGCCCTGCTTCCCAGGGTCTTTGGCGAATATGTGGAATGACGCATGGGAAGCTACAGGCTAAAGGTCTGGCACATTGCAGCCGCAATAAACAATAGATGTCTGTTCTTTTACATTCTAAAAAGTCCTTTTATATACATTTTAGAGCAGAGCAAGCAGGCAGGCTCTGGAGCTGGCGGCGGCAATGCAGCTCAGCTCCTACTCTGTGTTACTAGAGAGAAAGCCATATAACCCTTTAAAGCCTGGATTTCCACATCTATAATAAATGAGGTTAACAACCCCTACCTCCTATGGTTGTGTGAGGTTTTATTAGGAGGTTACACATAAGGGGCTTATCATAGTACGTGTCACAGAACAAGCACTCTGCAACCGTTATGAATAATTTTCACCCTCCTGAGACAGGAATAATACAGGGTAGTCGCAGGAAAATAGAAAATTTCAGGCACACACCCACCAGCATCTTGACAGTTCCAAGACCACCCATATTTAGTGTAAAAATGGGTGGCACCACAGTTCTGAGAAATCTCCACCTTTTTCCAGGAATCTTCAAGAATATTCCACCCCTTAGGCAAATATATCCATAAACGTAGCAGCCCCAAACCCCCTTGCTTGACTTTCTTTGAATACCCCTGCACTCCCCTTCCTTGAGCGTGTAGTTTTTGCTTTGCAGTAAATCTCCCTACTTTCACTATTTCCTGACTCATCCTTGAATTCCTTCTCCCGGTGGTGTCAAGAGCCTGGACTCTAGCCAGGGTTGAGGTCCCACCAGCATTTGGGGAGCTGGGCCAGCTCACCAGTATCATTCCCAACTTGTCTATTTTATAGTCAAGATAAGTGTCTTTGCCCCCATGTTATACATGGTGGAAGTAAGGCTCTGGGAAGCGCAGTGGCTTGACTAAGGTCACACTACCAGGAAAGGGCAGAACAGGAACTTCTGCACTGGGCTCCCAGTTCTAAGTCAGCGCCCCTTCCGTTACAGGGGCCCCAAGGTTGTGCATTCAAAATGGCCTGGCAGCCTTGTCAGCTCTGCCCAACAGAATGGACTGAAAGACACCCAGAGAAAAAGGCCCAGGCCACAGCTTCAGACTGATCTGGTTTCAAATCCTCTTCTAGCTGTGTGACGTTGGCCAGAATACTCAGCCTCTCTGGGCTTCAGTCTCTTATCTTTAACTCAGTGGGAGTTAGTCCTACTCCTCAGGGTCAATGTGAACAGGAAATGAGGATGGGTGTAGACATGCCCAGCATTGTGCCAAAAACCCAGCAGGTACTCAGGAAAGATTGTCTCCCTCCCCGGCCCCCATCAGTGCATCTGTTGTCATCTCTCTTGGGGCTTCTAGCTCCAGCTTCATTCCCAGCCAGAGGGACCTGAGTGACTGACAGGCCCTGACATTCCAGCTCACAGACCAGCTGCATCTCCACCAGCCTGCCTCAGTCTCCCAGGTATCTGCCACAGCAGCATCCTATCACCTGGGCTCCGAGAGCTAATGAGGCTCCGAGACCTAATGAGGCCACCAAGGGAGTAAGGACAGGCCCATCCAGATGCTCCAGATCCTGCCTTTCTCTCTTCCCCCTTGTCCTTCTCTGTCCCCCATCCTTTTCCAAACTCTGCCTCCTTCACTCTCCTTCCCCTCAGCCTCCCTGAAACTTTCAAGGAAGCAGCCGATGGCCTCTGACAATGATCCAAAAATTACGACCAACGTCAAAAAAGTACAAGATGATTTATTCATGCTTCCAACTCTTAGCGCATTCTTATACTTATCAAGGGGCACTGCGAAGACAAAGTTGAACAAGACACAGTCCAGCCTTGGGGAATCTCAGAAAAAAATGATGCATCAGCAGAAATGTACAACCCAATGGGATGCACATATTAAATAAGAATTCTGACAGCTGCCATTTATTCAGCACTTTATATGTGTTCTGGCTTACGGTTGCAGCTCAGGTTCAGGGAGTTCACGGGTCTTATCCAAAGTCACACAGCCAGGAAGGGATAGTGTTGAGATTCAAACCCAAGTCTGTCTGATCTCAAAACTTGGGCTCCTTTTGTTTCATCAAGGCTTGCCTCTATTGGGAATATCCAAACATAGAGAAAAATAATAATTACCATGCAATGTGAAACCCGACATGAAAGTACAAACTACAGAGTGAATGATCTGGGGAAGGATTCTCATGAACTGGATATTAAAAGATGGTGGTCATATATGCATATATCCAAGTCTATGTCTATGCCTGTATTTCTACATCTATGTATTTATGCCTACATGTCTGTCTATATCTACCTCTACAGCTATCTATAACCTGGTCCCCCATCTCCCAGGATCCCTGAACAAAACTGTCACTCCACTCTTCCCTCCGAATGATAATATAATTGAGTTGGCCAGGCACAAGGGCTCACACCAGTAATCTCAGGTCAAGGAGGGAGAATTGCTTGCATCCAGGAGGTCGAGACCAGCCTCAGCAGCATAGTGAGATCCTGTCTCTACAAAAAATGAAAAATTATCTGGGCATGGTGGCACAAGACTGTAGTCCCAGCTACTCAAGAGGCTGAGGTGGGAGGATCACATAAGCTGGGGAGTTGAGGCTGCATTGAGCCATAATCATACCACTGCACTCAGCATGGGTGACACTCCGTAGCCCCCAAATATATATATATATATATATATATATATATATATATATATATTTGAGTTTACACAGTTGGGGTCCAGATTTGACTGGTAATCAAAAAAGTCCATTATAGTAGGAAATAATTTAATTAATGAACTACATACTGCTAAACATCTTACTTCAACTTAAAGTATATAAATATGCATGTATTGACATAATTTTAGATGAAGGCCTCTGAGGCCTCTCAGAATAGCTCTGTTGATCGGATTCTGCATTCCGGTTTTTCTATAAACCATAGCCATAATACAATTAACACTCATGCTTCAGGCATCATTAAAGTAGAACAGAAAATGTCATTTGAGTGCAGAATCATGGACAGTGTTTTTTTGTTTTTTTTTTTTTACCCTAACACTTTGCAGGTCTCTAACCCACACATATTTGTACAGATTTTTTTTTAGCAACTAACATTTATGGGGTCTTTTCAAATCATTCAAGTTAGTGCTCAAAGAAAACAGAACTTTTTTCTGATGTATTACAGACATTGAACTCACTATTGTCATTATGTTATTTAGTTAAACATGATGTAAACTGACAAAGTATGGGCACAAAAAAGAATGGTTGCCCCTGTGAACGCTAAACTGAATGCTTTAGAAGACTGTACAGAGATGAATTGTTGCAGGGTAGCAAATACAACTGATTCCTGCTAAGCAGCAAGTTGACTGACGAAAACAGAAAAACATGGGTCATCTCAACGGGAGAGCAGTCTAATGGCCTTGGGGCTCCGCCTGCCACCAACATCAGGCAATAGGATTGCAGGTGAAAAGTCACTGATCCAGCAAGACAGTTAAGTGGAGGTCAAGTGGACAATTTCCACTGTATCTACTTTATATTTCTGATCCCAGCAACGTCCAGGTAGAGTGGAACCCTGTCCACACTCTGGCCCACTCCTCATCCCGCTTCTTGTTCTCCCAAGAGGAGGAATGCAGTTCTAACGAGCGAGATCCCACGACACTGAACACATGGTTTTTTTCTAGTGGAAAGGGTCAACCCTCCCTTCTTCACCTCACTCTTCACAACACTCACCTCTTGTCTTCTGCCTCATACTGGTAACAAAAAGTTATAAGGGCCTGTGCTTTGAGGGAGTGGCAAAATAAGAGGGTGTGGTAGATGAGGCTAGGGAAGGGGGCATGTCAGTCTACGGACATTGGACTAAGGCATTCAAACTTTACCCTATAGGCAATGAGGAATAACTGAGATCGAATCTGTGCGAAAGAAAGATCACTCATGCAATTGATGCGGACAATAAATCGGAGGAGAATGGAGGCAGGAAGGCCAGTGAGGAGCCTGCTGCATTCACCAGGGAAAGAGACGATGACGCCTAAACTGATACAGGAAGCTGAGGTGAGGATGGGGGTCCGCATAGCACCAGACCTAACAATGGGTTAGACATGAGGAATAAAAAGGAAAAAGTCTCCGAGAATGCCCAGGCTTCTGTCTTGGCTAACTGGCTTCAGCCAGTAAAATCAGGAAGACAGGAATGGGAGTGGGGTTGGAGTCAGAAAGATGAAGGCTTCTGCATTGGCCATTTAAGCTTGTGTTTCCTGTGAGCCATGCAGAAGGAGAAAGCCAGGAGCCGAAATACATTCAAACCTGGACTGGAAGAAACAGCTCTTCTAGCTGCTTGAATCAAGTGAAAACTACCAACTGCCTTGAGGATTTCTCTTTTCTTAAGACAGGGTCTCTGTCTGTCTCCCAGGCTGGAGTGCAGTTGTATAATCATGGCTCACTGAATCCTCAGCTCAAGTAATTTTCCCACCTCAGCCTCCCAAGCAGCTGGAACTACAGGCATGCGCCACCATGCCTGGCTGATTTTTTAATCTTTTTGTAGAGATGAGGTCCCACTTTGGTGCCTAGGCTAATCTTGAACTCCTGAGCTTAAGGGATCCTCCCTCCTTGGCCTTCCAAAGTGCTGGGATTAGAACTGAGGACTTCTGATTGCTGTTGTTCCACTCAATACTTGGCAGCAGAACAGGTAGAGTGGAAAAAGCCATGCTTTTGAGGTCATCCAATTCTGGGTGGAAATTCCTAGTTCTGCAGATATGCATTATTTGTGGCTTTGGATATGTGATTTAATGTCCCTGTGCCTCTGTTTCTTCATCTATATATAAAACAAATAATGACACATTCTTCATAGGCTATAATGAGAATCAAATGCAGTCATAAATATAAAGCATCCAGCTAGTGTCTGACACATAACAGGTGTTCTGCAAATGGTGCTAACTAGTAGTTAGTAGTGGTATTTTATTTGTATTCTATAGAACGTCATCTATTAATTCATTAATTTTATAAAAATCAAATAATTGTATTTCTGGAGTGGAGAATCTGGTAATTCAAAGGGATCTGATAAACAGATATTTGCTTATCTCAATTCAACAAGACTTTTCTGGGCTCCTCTGGGTGTGACAGGCCCTTGGAATTTAGAAGCCTCCAGGTTTTTCCATGCTTCCCCCTGCAAACACACACACACACATTTAAGCAAACAATCACCATCACCAAAGGGGGTTCCCTCCAATTGTGTAGGCGCTCTCAAGAGCTGAGTTAAACAGACATTCCACGCTGGGCCCTGGGCACATAAAGAGAAGCCGTGCCAAACCTTGGCTCTGGAGGCTTGGAGCCTAGTGCTGGGCATCAGTGAGTCTTGAATGAGCTTTTTCTCCAGAAACCAGTGTCCACCCCCGCCTTAGGCTCCCTGCCCAGAGCACAAGGCTGCCAGCCCATCTGTGTCCTTGAGAACATGCTGGGCTCCTGACCCAGGCAGCAGCTGGTCCACTACCTGCTGCCCCCGACCTGGCACCTATCCAATTCTGAGACAGCACAGGGAGATAGAATCTGAGAGCTGGAAAGGAACATGGAACTCATCCAGGGCATGGAATGTGCAACTCACTGGGCCCAGAGCCAGAAAAGGGTTGGATTTTTATTGCGCTTGGCCCTTTACCAGCTGTGTGGGTTGAAGCAGTCACTTTTCACTCAGCCTCAGTTTTCTTATCTGTAAAAGGGGAATAATAAATGTCTACCTCATGGGATTATCGTAAGGATTGTAAATGACAGATACCCATCTAATGGCATGTTAAGCAAAAAACTAAACTAAACTAAAAATCAATGAAGTGGGTATTTATTGGTCCAAAGTGTTACTGAAAAGTTTAAGGGCAGATATAATTTCAGACACACCTGAAACTACATGTTCAAACATCATCAGAAATCTCTCTCTCTCTCTCTGTCTCAGTTGGCTCCATTTTCTTATAAGCCTTCGAATATTGTTTGGACATTTGCCCCCCACCACCCAATCTCATGTTGAAATTTGATTCCTAAAGTTTGAGGTGGGGCCTAGTGGCAGGTGTTTAGGTCATTAGGGTAGACCCCCATGAATGGCTCAGTGTCATCCCCATGATAATGAATGAGTTCTTACTCTATTAGTTCACATGAGAGCTTGGTGCTTAAAAGAGCCTGGCACCTTTCCCCTCTCTCTCTTGCTTCCTCCTCTCTCACCACGTGACGTGCCTGCTCTCCCTTCATCTTCCACCATGATTAGAAGCTTCCCGAGGCCCTCATCAGAAGCAGATGCTGGTGCCATGCTTCTTGTACAGCCTGAAGAACTGTGAGTCAAATAAACCTCTTTCTTTTAAATTACTCAGCCTCAGATATTCCTTTATAGCAACACAAAATGGACTAAGACACCTTCCCTTCAGGGTGACAAACTGGCCTCCAGCAGCACTAAGCTTTCTCTAATGGAGAAAGAGTGCTTCTCTCCCAATAGTCTTAAGACTGGCCCTCATTAGCTCTGATTGGATCACTTTTGGTTATATATTCACTCCTCCACTTATCACTGTGCCCAGGGAGATATCATATTACCCTTGGCCAACATTGGGTCATATGTCCATGTCTAGAATCCTGAGTTCCAAATTGGCTCTACTCTACCCAGATAATGGACTGATAGCGGAGAAAGGAGTATTCAAAGAAAATCAAGATGCTCTTATAGATTAAAGGGGGAACGGATACTGGGCATGGCAAGACAGCAGACATCATGTCAAGAAAGCAGACATCAATAAACATGTGTAGGGGTTAATTTTCAACCAATGCTATTATCTTCATCAATGTCATCATCATTATTATCATTGTTATAATAATTAACATCATTATCACCATCATCATCACAGGCGAATAATACATTGTAACTGTATGTTCCTGTTATCTACTGCTTCCCATGCAGCCTCTTCTACATCCATTCTTTACCTAGAAGAGTAGTCTGTTGGCACTCAAGCAGGGTTTCTAAGAGCCTGAGGCTCCCCTTCTTGTCTTCCCCCTAAAACTGTCCAGCCCTGCATCCATCCTTTCTCTGTGTTCTGAGATGGATCTACTCCAGGCATGGTCTCTGCTCTCCCCAGCATCAGGCTCCAACCTTTACTCTCCTCTTCTCCTCATAGCTGTGGCCTCCTGACCACCACTCTTTGCAGACCCAGTTCTGCTCCAATCATGGACAAAAGCAGGAGGGTTGAAAGAACACCAGCCCCATTCTCTAAGGCTCATCACACACTGTACCACACTTCTGGTCCCGAAATTGGAACCTTTTCTCATCACTAGAATGTATCCTTGGCCCTATATGGGTACCCATATTGAGTATGCATTAACACACTTTTGGTTGAAAATAACAGAGAACCTAATTTAAACTGACTAAAAAATAAAAGGAATTCATTGGCTGATGGGCATAAAACCTCAGAAGTAGTTCAGTTCAGGTAAAGCTAGATCCAGCAGCAGCTCAATGACATCACCAAGGATCTGATTTCTTTCTCTCTGTTAGCTCTGTATTCTTCAGGGTTGCCCTCATCTTAAGGCTATTTCCTTAGTATTCCCAAGATAGTTTCAAGTGCATTCTAAGGCTATATGTTTCCAATTTTCTATCCCGGCGGAAAGAATAGCTCTTTATACTAGAATTCCTAGCATAATTTGAACAGATTCACTCTTACTAGACCAGCTTAGGTCCCACCTTTGGTTGGTTCAAGAGAACCATGGTGGGGTTAATTCCAAATAAACCACATGTTGTAAAACGGGGAAGAGATAGTTCCAAGGAAATGTGGGATCCTATTACATTAAAGAAAGGGGGAAGATTCCTGGCCAACAGTCAAAAGATGTCCATTATCAGAATTTTGAAGGAATTATGCTCAAATTGTACCTGGAAGTGAGCCAAAATTTGTCTGGATTCTCAGAGATATTCAGCTCTCTCTTTTTACCTAACCTCTCTTTTGGAATTGGGAGGTGATTCATTGAAATTATTCAGCTTGAGTCTGGGTAAGGAGTATATTGGAGTTCTTTGTACTATTCTTGCAAATTTTCTGTAAGCCTGAAACTATTTCCAATTAAAATAACTTGTTAAAGTAATATGGTAGTGCATAATCACCATTTTCCCCCCTTAACCATAGGTAAGATACATGTAATATTGATATTTGCCTCACCTTTGCTTCAGGAGTGATGGAAGAATTTCAGGGGAGAATTCACCCAACTTGACTGGGATACCGGGAGCACGGATCTGGAAAGAAACTTTTGAGCTTTAGGTGGCTGAGTGTGCATAAAGTAACACACATACCAAAGTCTTCCAAACAAAGATTAAGGGATGGAACCTCTCAAATAAACTCCTCCAAATTGGGAACAAATGTTGCGGTATCAGGATCACATCTCCTGTCCCAGTTACCCCATTGCTCAACATGGGATGTGGGTTGTCAGGGTGAAGTTCTTTTAGCAATTATCTTTGTTTGCTTCATTATGTAAGGAGGAGAAATAACTTACCTGTTTAGGTAACTGGCCTTTAAATTAAGGGCAATAGTACTCAAAGAACTGTACCCAATGCACTGCACCAGAGGAGCCTCATCCACAGCTAAACCTGATTTAGATGACAAGACTCTAGACCTTGAGCCTGCTCCTAACGACATAATAGATGGGACTTGGGGGAAGCATTAGTAGAAGTGAGTATATTTTGCATATGGGAAAAACATAAATAACATGGCCAGATGGTGAACTGTAGTTATTTTAAAACATGGTCCCCCATTCTTTTACATCCTTCTCATAGAGAAGTAGAATCCATTTCCCTTGAATCAGTGATGCTGACAAATAGAGTAGGGAAAAAGACACTATTTGATTTTTTTTGTGTGTTACTTCATATACTTATTCATTCGTGACAAGAACACTTAAAAATCTACTCTCTTAGCAATTATCCAGTATACAATTCATTATTCCTAACTATAGTCACTATGTTGTACAGTAGATCTCTCGAGCTCACCCTTTTGTTCATTATTTGACCTTTGGGGCTGGATAAGAAAGAGCCATGTGACTCAGCCTGGTTTCCTTGAAATGCTCATTCTTGGGATCCAGACAAGGGGAAGGATGTCCAGCCTGTGGAGAGGTCCACAGGGAGAGGCTTAAGCTAGAGAGAAACAAGGGCACCCTCCCTTCTCAGCTCCTACTGGGCTCCCAACTGAGAGTCAACACCTACTTGCCCACCATGCAAGTGAGCAATTCTGCAAGTGGGCCCTCTAGTCCTATCAAGCATCCCCATGTGGAGTAGAGACTACACTTCTCCACCAGCCCCTGCCTAAATGGCAGATTTGTGAGCTAAAAAGATAACTGTTGTTTTTTCAAGCCACTAAGTTTTGGGATGGTTTATTATGTAGCCAAAGTAACTGGAACACCATGCAAATGAATGCAAAAGCACTTCAGAGAGAATACTTGTGATCTCAAAGTATTAAGAGATACCCTTGTGAAAAATTTTAAAGTCCATGAATGTTTGTGCAAGAAATGATTCTCTTGATAAGTATACTGTAAAAACCGAATGAAACATATAGGCAGTAGTAATGAGCTGCCCAACAACTTTACTGGAAAAAAATATACACTCTTAAGATCATCAACATTTGATTCAACTCTTGTTTGTCCTTAAAATCAGCTCATAGTTTCAATTATGACCTATGATTTGTTAAATATACGATATCATTACTTTATTTCATATTTTTAACTGTTGACAAAGCCCAAGTCAAATCTATGAACCTGCCTTTATGCCAAAATTTTAATCCCTACTCAAAGTGGTTTGTATTGAGTGGGAACTTTTTTCTGGTTCCCAGTTATTCTTAGGAAACTTTATTAGTCAGGGTTCTCCAGAGAGACAGAACATATTTATATATAAGTGTGTGTATAAATGTGTGTATGTATATATATACATATATATATAGGTTCTGTTTCTCTGGAAACCACACACACATATATATTCATATATATGAAGAGATTTATTATAAGGTTTTGGCTCACACAATTATGAAGGCTGAGAAGTCCCACTATCTGCCATCTGCAAGCTAGAGACCCAGGAAAGCTGGTGGTGTAGTTTGAATGCCTGAGAACCAGAAAGCTGATGGCATAGATTTGAGTCAGGTCTGAAGGCCTGAGAACTGGAGGGCAGAAGGCAGGAGAAGATTGATGCCTGAGCTCAAGCAGTCAGGCAGAGTTAATTTGCTCCTCCTCCCCTTTCTCATTCTATTCAGGTCTTCAATGGATGGGTGATGCCCACACATATTGGGGAGGCCATCTGCTTTACTTGGTCAACCAATTCAAATGCTAATCACTTCCAGAAACATCTTCACAGACACACCCAGAAATAATGTTTATCCATTTATCTGGGCATCCTAAGGTCCAGTCAAGTTGATGCAGAAAATTAGCCATAACAGAAACCAATAACCTCTTCTATATGCCTGGAACACAACCTGTTATTGTGTCTTTGGCTGTGGTATTTTGCCGGCCAGACTTGCTTTTTCCTAGTACCAGAGGAGGAAGATGTTCACCAATCTCTCAGGATCCTCTTTTAGCTCCAGCTTGCCCATCCTTCAGCAAATGCCCAGCCCCTGCTTGCACTCACTGAGAAAGAGCATCAAAGATGGCTGCCTCACTCCAAAGCTCCAGGTGCACTCTACTCCCCCATCCTGCCTCCCACTCTGCCTCCCACTTGTCGCCACCTCCTTAGTTCATCTTTCTTCCTCCTCTTCCCTTGTGTTATCCTTGGCTTTCCTCTCCATTCTATATGTGTACTTGGATTATATCAGCCTCATCCAGGGAAATAACCCAGACCAATTCTATCCAGTCCCCAATGCCACAGTGCAATGCTGAAATTTCTGCCAGATGGGTCCCAATTATCACAAAGAAAAGCAAGCAGCAATTAACAATGCCATAGTCAAGGGAATCTGATACAAGTTGAACATCCTTTATCTGAGAATCTTGGGACCAGAAGTGTTTCAGGCTTTTTTGGACTTTGGAATGTTTACTTTATACTTATCGGCTAAGCATTTCTAATTTGAAAATTTAAAGTCTGAAATGCTTCAATGAGCTTTTTGTTTTCTCAAGAAGTTTCAGATTTTGAAGTATTTTTTTATTTCAAGTTTTTGGATTTAGAATGCTCAACCTGTACTGAAAAATTTCACACTGCCTTGGGGATGGGTCTTGGTGCAGGAAGTTTATAGATACAACTTCACATTAGGAAATTCTAAATCCAAACTTTTTTTAAACCAAACTTTGGGGCCTCAGAACCCACTATATAGCAGTTAGAACTCATTATATTGAAAATATCAAAAAGCCCAACTCGAAATGGTTAAAAAATAAATGAAATTAGGCAACTGATAGAATTGCAAAAGACAGAGGTAGATCTAGCTTCAGGTAAGGCTTGATCCAGACACTCAATGATGCCACCAAGAATTCAGTACCCTCATCCTAAAGGTCTCATCCTAAAGCTGGCTCCCCTCCTGATCATAGGATCATCTGTCAATATCTCCACACAAGTCCACTCCCCAGTGACTCAATAAAAGTGTCAGAGTTGAGTCTTATTGTCTTGGTTGGCTGATTTGGATGATATGTCATTGGTTAATCCATATGTAATCTCTGTGGTCAGGAGGATGAGAGATACTGGTTGGTTTAAGCTAATTGGGTGTACCCTCTGGGAATGGAGTCAATAATAGCTAACCTACATGGATGAGAAATGCAAGATACTCTTAGGAAAGGGGAAATGAGTGTTAGAAGGCTAGAAATTGACCCCAAACTGCAAGCTCCACATGTTTCCTGGATAGAGAACACATTAAAATATTTAACTGACCTCAAAATGGTCATAATAATGCATGTTTGCACAACTCTTTAAAATATACATATATATACTTTAATTTTTAGAGCAGTTTTAGGTTCACAGCAAAATTGAGTGGAGATGCAGAGATATCCCACATACCCTCTGCACCCACACAAGCATTGCCTACCAACTTATCAATATTCCCCACCAGAGGGTATATTTGTTGCATTTGATGAGCCTACATTGACACATCATTATCACCCAAAGCCTATAGTTTACATTTGGGTTTACTCAGTGTTGCACATTCTGTGGATTTAGACAAATGTATGATGACAAGTATACACCATTGTAGTATCATACAGAGTAGTTTCACTGCCCTAAAAATCCCCTGTGTTCCACTGATTCATTCCTCTCTACCCCAACCCCTGGCAACCACTGATCTTTTTACTGTCTCCATAGTTTTGCCTTTTCCAGAATGTCATATAGTTGGAATTACACAATATATAGCCTTTTCAGACTGGCTTCTTTCACTTAGCATGCACTTAAGTTTCCTTCATGTCTATTCATGGCTTGACATCTCATTTCCTTTCGGCACTGAATAATGTTCATTGTCTGGATGTTCCACAGTTTATTTATCCATTCACCTACTGAAGGACATCTTGGCTGCTTCCAAGTTTTTGCAAAATCATGAATAAAGCTGCTATAAACATCTGTGTTCCGGTTTTTTTATGAACATAAGTTTTCATGCACACTTTTGAACAGTTCCTTTTCATCCATTACTTCTTTGGAGCCCCACATTTTCTCTGAAAGGTAGATACTAGTAACTCCAATGTCTAGATTACCAAACTGAGGTTCTGGCCAAGAACGCATAACAGATCAGTGATAGAGATGAGATTTGAACTCCTAAGGTCTATATTTTTTTCCTGGCCTTGTCATTGACTTCCTGGAAGATGAGTTTCTAGAAAACCAAACTCAAAGCTGCCCCCAAATGGCAAAACACAGACCGAGCCCAAGTTCTTCATCCCCTACTCAGTACACACATATGCCCACCAGGACAGCCTGTTTCATGCTGCCCTTGGTTCTGGGCACCCTGAATTCGATCGTTGGTGAGTCTGGCTGATGGCATGACCCACCCTCAGGCCCCCTGATAGTACCGTTATTTTCCACTAGGCAGATTCCCTGGCTGTATCCAAACCAACTCCAACCAGACTCTAAGTCCCTTGCCTCCCTCCTTCCCTCTGTTCTTGCCTTTCATCATCCAGTGTTTACTGAATACCACCTAAGACCTAATGTCCTTATCATAGCATTTTAGCTCCCTCACTTCCATTCCTCTGACCTCTCCCTCCAACCACTTTCCCCTCATTCACTCTACTCCAGCCACCTACACTCTTCACAGTTCCACAGATGTATGAGGCACACTCCACCTGGTCCCTGCTTCTTACCCACAGGGCTTATTCTCTCATTTCTTTGAAGTTTCTACTTAAATAACACCTTATAAGCAAGGTCTTCTCTGACCTCCCAGGAAAAAAAAAATCAACATCTCCAGTACTTCTAGCACCATCTCTGTTTTAACTTTTTTAAAATTTGTATGATAACAATTATCACAACAAATGTCTTACATATTTATGGATTTATTATATGTCTCCCTGTTCCATGAGAAGATGAAATTTTCAAAGATAGAGATTTTCGGTTTTATCCATTGATGAATTCTAAGCATCTAGAACTATTCTTGGCCCCCTAGGGTACTCAACAAATATTTGTTGAAATAATGAATCCTATCAAGACTGTCATGTAATGACTCTCTTCCAGACAGGGGTGACACCAGCCCAAGGACTCTCCAATCTCAGGAAACCCAGATGAGACTCTCCAAGAGCTAACCTTGAAGCCCCTTTTACCTTTTCCTTTTGTTTTAAGAGACAGGGTCTTGATCTGTCCCCCAGGCTGGATGCAGTGGCATAATCACAGCTCACTACAACTTCGAACTCCTGGGCTCAAGCAATTCTCCAAGCTCAGCCTTCCAAGTAGTTAGGACTACAGGCATGCACCAAATATATATATGTATATTTTCTAGAGATGAGGTCTCACTATGTTGTCCAGACTGGTCTTAAACTCCTGACCTAAAGTGATTCTCCCACCACAGCCCCCCAAAGCACTGGTATTGCAGGTGTAAGCTACCACTCCCAGCCTACCTCTCACTCTTGGGGTGCTCCTCTCCCTCCCCATGACAGTGATGGGATGGCGTGATACCCAGCACTCCACTAATTCCAAAGAAATCCCCTTTCCTTCTCTCTTTAACTTCAACTTTGTATGCCCTCAAGCCTGGTCAAAATTGTTTCAAAATCAATTAGTATATCTTTCATTGGTAGACTGGCACCTCACTTTGCCTGAGGCTGCTTGGCATATACATTTTATTTCTGGTCTCTGTGGCTTCAGCTGACATTGAAATATAAACAGTCCACTAACACCCTGCTACACATACATCATATCACTGAATGTTCACAAGGACCACGCCACACAAATCTCCTTGTCTCTCTTTTGCAGATAGGGAAACTGAGGCTCAGAGAGCTATTACTCTCTCACTGGATAAATGATCACAAAGTACTTGTCTCTCAGTTGAGAGAGCTATGGATATTATGGTATTCCGGCCCCTCAATGCCACTCCTAGACCGTGAGTCAGGGTCTGATTGTCTGCTGTTTTCACTGTAGCGTAGGACTCTGCCTCCCACCCAGTCCTTAGAACATCCCCTACTCCCAGCCAGGCAGAGCCCAGAGAGGCTGTGGACACCGATCAGCAGACCTCTTATCCACCGATGCAATAAGCAGCTTGGAAAGGAGATAAATGGATGTGATTATTGGCTTCAAATGAGGTTTAGGGATTATCTGTGGATTTTCTTTATCCTTGTGGCAGACACAGTGGAGAAGGGAGGGGCTGTGAGTTCAGAACCCAGGGGAGGGGACCAAGCACCTTCGTGACTTGAATTGTACCAAAGCTTGAGAGTCAGATGAATTTTGGCATGCATACAAGCTCTGTGGCCTTGGGTGCGTCACTTCACCTCTCTGAACCTGCTACCTTCCTCTCCACAAGGAGTGGAAACATGCTAGGAATGTTCTTCTTTCACATCAGAATAGGGTCACTCACTCAAGTACTGGTTTGAAGGAGTTCACATACAACCGCAAAACTGCATTAATCTTTCACATCAGAATAGGGTCACTCACTCAAGTACTGGTTTGAAGGAGTTCACATACAACCGCAAAACTGCATTAATTACCTCTGGGCATCTTATCTCCTATTGCAACTCCTCAGCAACATCTTGAAAGAGCAAACTGAAATTACTATATACAACACTAGCAATAATAATAGCAGCCTCCATATACTGAGCTCTTCTTAAATGCAAGCACTTGTGGTCATATTACCACTTAATCCTCTCAATAAATGCTAAGAAGTAGTTTTATTGTATTCCCATTTTACAGAGAGGAAACTGAGTTCCATCTGGCTTGCCCAGTGTCACAAAGTTGATGAGGGGTAAGACCATGCCTAGAACTCAGGGTTAGGTCCCCCAAAGCCAATATTTAAACCACCTGCTAAATGCTTCCATTGCATGTGCCGTGATTTCAATAGCATATTCTGAAATGGGTTTGAACCAGCTTCATTAGAGTAATTATATGTAATCCAACTACTTTTGTGAGCACTAGCTATACTTGTCTCTCTGAGTCGTCATTTCTTCATCTGTTAACTGGGGGTGATAACGCCTTCTCTCATATGGCTGTTTTGAGAATTGAATGAGATGTAATAAACATTTAAGAAGTATCAGTTTTCCTTCTTTTCACCTCAAAAAAATTAATATAAATTGATTTGCTGAAATTATAACAACTGGGGTTTAAGAATATCAATAACAATAGGAAAATAAGTCAGGTGCAAAATTGATGATGTTGGAAATTGTCTACCTACCCAGTCGTGTGTCGCACAATGCTAGAAGTTTTGAGATGCCGTTTATTGCATTGACACTAGAGCTACATGACATGGAAATTAGAGTGGAAAAAGTGTCATTCTCACTAATTCAACAAACAAGCATTGAGCTACTTTTGCCAGCACTGTGGGTGCTATGGTCTGTATGTGTCCTCAAAATACATGTGCTGGAAACTTAATCCTCAGTGCAATAGCACTGGGAGGTGGGGCCTTTGGGGAAGGCTTTTAGGTCATGAGGCCTTGCCCTCATGAACAGATTAAAGCCACTATAAAAAGGGCTTGTGGGAGTGAGTTCTGTCTCTTCTGCTCTTCTGCCATGTGAGAACAGAATTCATCCCTTTTGTCCTTCCACCTTCTGCCATGTGAGGGCACAGCAAGGAGGCTCTCACCAGATGCAGTGCCTTGTTCTTGCACTTCCCAGCCTCCAAAACTATGAGAAAATAAACTTCTGTTCTTTATAAGTTACTCAGTCTCAGGTATGTTGTTGTAGCAACACAAAACAGACTAAGACCCAATGTCCTTACCATAGCATTTTAGCATTTTAGCTATGGGTTCAGAGATAAACAAAACAGATATGGTCCTTGCTCTCATGGACATTACATTCTAGTGAAAGAAACAGAAAATAAACATAAATAAGATGTTTCGAGGAGTAGCGTGTGTTATCAAAAATAAAACAAGGTAATCATATAGTGTAACTTGGGGCAAGAAGAGGCTATTTTAAAGAGCAAGCAGTTCAACTTTCTCTGAGAAATAAACATTGACACGAAGGCCTGAATATTGAAGAATAGGCACTCCTGGAAGGAGCTAAGGCCCAGAGCTGAGAATGAAAGGTATGTGTTCAAGGTACACAAAGCAACTGCAGCTAGTGTGGAGTGAGCATCAGGGTAACTAATGGAATAATAAAATTAAAAAAAACAGGTGGCACCAAATTATGCAAAACCTTGAAGGCCATTGTAAAAAGTTTGGATTTCATTCTAAGTTCAACAGGAAAAATACCATTAGAAATTTTTAGCGGCCAGGCGCAGTGGCTCACACCTGTAATCCCAGCACTTTGGGAGGCCGAGGCAGGTGGATCACAAGGTCAGAAGATCGAGACCAACCTGGCTAACATGGTGAAACCCCGTCTCTACTAAAATACAAAAATTAGTCAGGCTTGGTGGTGTGCGCCTGTAGTCCCAGCTGCTGGGGAGGCTGAGGCAGGAGAATGACGTGAACCCAGGAAGCGGAGCTTGCAGTGAGCCAAGATCGTGCCACTGCACTTTCAGCCTGGGTGACAGAGTGAGACTCTGTCTCAAAAAAAAAAAAAAAGAAAGAAAGAAATTTTTATCAAGAGGCTAGTAACTTGATCTGTTTGATACAAGCCACATCGGACCCACACAAATATAGTGCTAATTGTTTGGATATGCTTTGTCCCTGCCAAAACTCATGATAAAATTTGATCCCCAATGTGATTGTGTTGGAAGGTGGGGCCTAGTGGGAGGTGTTTGGGTCGTGAGGGAGGATCCCTCTTGAATAGATCAATGTCCTCCCACGGGGGTGAGTGAGTTCCTGCTCTCACAGGAATGTATTAGTTCCCCCAGAGACTGGGTTGTTAAAAAGAGTCTGGCTTCCTTGGCTTTGCTCTCTCGTCTCCTCTCTTACCATATGACCTCTTTGCAATGCCCACTCTCCTTCCACTTTATGCCATGAATTGAAGCAGCATGAGGTCCTCACCAGAGGCAGCTGCCCAAGCTTGGACTTTTCATCCACCAGAATTGTGGGCCAAATAAGCCACTTTTCTCTATAAATTACCCAGCCTCAGATATTCTGTTACAGCAACACAAAATGGACTAAAACATGTGGGTACTTGATTTATAACAAAGATAGTACACAGAGCAGAAATGGGAAATAGTCTTTCTTTCAATAAATGGTGCTGTATCAATAGGGTAATGATATGGGTTACAAAAATCATAACCAATACTTTATACCATATACTAAAATAAATTCAATGTGGACTACAAATATAAATATAAAAAGTAAAACAATAAAGATTCTATAAGATAACAAAGAGAATATTTTCATAATCTGGGATAGGCAAAAATTAAACAGAAAACAAAAAGTGCTTTAAAATAGATAAATTAAACTTTAATAAATTAGCGACTTTTGGTTATCAAAAGACACCACCAACAGAGGGAAAGTAGCAAACCACCTGATGGGAGAAGATATTTACAATACATATAATCTCAAAGTATCCCTACCCAGAATAGATATAAAAGTCCTACTAATCAAGAAAAAATATATATATCACAATAGAAAAGTTGACAAAAGTCATTAACAGGTACTTTACAAAAGAAGGTTTTCAAATAATCATTAAATACGTGAAAAATTACTTCATTAGTCATTAGGTAAATTAAAATTAGAACCGCTAAATATCATAGAATGGCTAAAATTAAAAACAGACTGACAATACCAAGTGTTGGTGAGGCAATGGAGCAACTAGAACTCTCAGGCACAGCATACAGGATTAAAACTGGTATCCCTTGGCTGGGTGTGGTGGCTCACACCTGTAATCCTAGCACTTTGGGAGGCCAAGACAGCCAGATTGCCTGAGCTCAGGAGTTCGAGACCAGCCTGGGCAACATGGTGAAACCCCATCTCTACTAAAAATACAAAAAATTAGCCAGGTGTCGTGGCGGGTGCCTGTAGTCCCAGCTACTCAGGAGGCTGAGGCACAAGAATCACTTGAACCTGGGAGGCGGAGGTTGCAGTGAGCTGAGATCATGCCACTGCACTCCAGCCTAGGCAACAGGGCGAGACTCTATCTCAAAAAAGAAAAAAATAAATAAACAACAGCAACTGGTATCCCCACTTTGGGGAACTATTTGGGAGTATGGACTAAAGCTAAGTATATGCATACCTTACCCAGAAATTCCACTTCTGGGAAAATAACTGACCAAAATGCTTGCATATATGTACCAAAAGATTTACACAAAACTTGGAAACAATGAAAAACTCCATCAACAAACTGAGGTGTATTCATATAGTGAAATACTACACAGCATGAAAAGTAACATTGCTGACCCAGGCAACAACATGGATGAATCTCAAAAACATAATATTGAGCAAAAGAAAAAAGCCAAATTCAAAAGCGTATATACTGTCTAGTTTTTTTGTTTGTTTTTTATTTGCTTGTTTGTTTGTTTGTTTGAGACAGAGTCTCACTCTGTCATGCAGGCTAGAATATAGTGGCACAATCTCGGCTCACTGCAACCTCCACCTCCTAGTAGCTGGGACTAACACAGGCGTGCACCATCACATCTGGCTAATTTTTGTATTTTTAGTAGAGATGGGGTTTCACCATCTTAGCCAGGCTGGTCTTGAACTCCTGACCTCAGGCAGTCCACTTGCCTTGGCCTCCCAAAGTGCTGGGATTACAGGTGTGAGCCATGGTGCCTAGCCTTGACTTCTTTCTTACTCATCTGTGAAGTGAGGATGAGAGTCAAACCTACCTCACTGGGTTAATATGTTTCAAGGGCTTCAAAAGTCCCTGATACAATTCAGCCCTCTGTAAGTTAGCCATTTTCAGGGTCTGTGTGGACTTCCCCGAGGGATGAAGAGACAGAAGGTAGATTTTAGTTCTTGTGCCAAGACTGTTTAATTAGCATGGTGATTGCCCTTTAAATCAAGGAAACAAATGATGGCATATAATGTTATTGCCACATAATAAAGTCCATCAGGACCAAAATCCAGGAGCCAAAAGACATCAAGTGCATATATACAACAGAGGAAATCCTGGCTTAGCTGGGCATTGGCTGTCTAGGTGCTAATATGCTTTTCTGTATATGGGAGAGGAAAATCGTTACGATTATTCAGCAACCATTTTGGAGAGCTAAATTCCAGCCTCCCCAAAGTGCTTGGAGATAAGGGGCAATACACTTCAACTTTCCAGAGTACATAGTCCAGAGTTGTGCACTCCTAGATTAAGTGATACTGCTCATCCCTTTGAATTATTGCAGCAGCCTTTAAGCTAGACTCCCATCTGTGTCCAATTTTTTCCTCTTCAACCAATACTGATCACCTACACTGTCTCAGGTTCTCTACTGGGTGCTAGGGGACAATGAGAACAAGCTCACAGGGATGGCGCACTATTAAAGCACTTTGCAAATTGTAAAGTATTGATTCAATGCTGTTGCTGTGGGGATGATCAGGGGTAGTGGCAGTTGTTAAAGCAGTTGTTGAACAGTTCTCTGCTGCCTATGGAATAGAGGCATGGCAGCCAAGTCCAAACCAATTCCTGCCTAATTTCCCATCCCCTATTCCCTACATCAGCTTTACAGTCATCCACACCGAACCTATAGCAGTCCCTTCATTTTCACACCCCAAGGCTCTTAAATATTCCATTTCCTCTATCTGACATATTTTCTTCCTTTTGTCTGCCTGTAAAACCCCCACTTAATCCTTTAGGTTCCAATTTCACCCTCCTGTAACTCCTCCTAACAGGCAGTGTTCATCCCTTCCATGAGCATTTCTCAGTAAAGGCCAAGATATATCAGAATGACCTAAAATCATCTTCAAATCCCAGGCCCATACTGCTCACCAGAAGTTCAGATTCAATAGGTCTGGGGTGCATAATGATTAAGAGCTCAGGCTTTGAGTCAAAAAAACTCAGGTTAAGCCCCAGCTCAGTTGTTTACCAGCTCCATGAGCTTGGCCATGTTACTTAACTTCCCTAAGACAGTTTCCTCTGTGAAAAGGGAATAGGAAAAAGAAAGAATGACTCGTTGAGACAAAGTACATAAAATAGTACAGTACCTGACATCTGGGAAGCACTCAACAAATTATCATCATTGTTATTGAAAAGAGTTCCATTTTATTCTGATTTTGACAGCCTATCCACTTCTTCCCCACCCTACCCCATGCCTCTCCAGGTTGAGAATCACTGTTGAGCAATTATCAAATTGTATTATAATCCAATGTGTATGTGCTTGGGTCTCCTACTACCAGGAAATTCAGAAACTATGTCATAGTTGTAGATCCCCAACATGTAGCACTGTATCAAGAACAGCGTCAGTATTTACAAGCTGTGTGACCTTGTTCAAGTCTGTCTGCCTCTTTTGGCCTCAGTTGATTTGGCATAAAATGGGGAGAATAATGCTTACCAGATAAGGTTGTCAGAAATATCAAGTGAGATAGTGAATTTGAAATTACTTTAAATGATGTGTAGGAGTGAATTGCTATGCTTCTGCCATCTGGGGTGAAAAGGGGCTATGGTCCAGGTTTGTCACTTTATCTATGCCACATATCTAGGTAAAGGGGCTCTCTCCTTTCTCTCCTTCCCTATCTCATGGAGTATCAGTTTGATCCTCTTTCCTTAAACATTCGTAGATGATTTGTGCCTAATAGAAGACTTTAAAATGACCTGCAAAGTGGCTCAAGCCTTTCCAAGGAGAAAGGGACTATTGGTGCATTGGTGTAAGTTCAGTTTCTCTCAGAATGCTAACCACTGAGAACACTGCAGTAAGCTTGACAGACAGGATCCTTGCTCTGGTTGCGTTTGAATTCTAGTTGAGGGAAAGTGAATGATACACAGGTAAACATATAAATAAAATAATTTCAGAGAGTAATAAGTACTACAAAAAAAAAGAAGAAAAGAAAAAATGCAACAGGTAATGTTATAGAGTGATTGGGGGAGGAAGCATTAGGTAGGTGGCCAGAGAAGGCCTCTTTGACAAGGTGACATTTGGGCTGAAATTCAAATGACAAGTATTCAGCCATATAAAGATCAAGATGATGAGGGTCCCAAGCAAATAAAACAGCAAATAAAATTAAAAAAAAAAACTTTAAAAATACCTTGGTACAAAATGGAGGCCATTGTAGGAGGAATTACTGAGACGGGGAGAGTGGGTCATGAGGAGGCAGGAGGGTTGGGCACGGATGTTGTACGCGGAGCTTCGCAGTCTGTGATTCAAAAAATAGAAATCAGGCTGGGTGCGGTGGCTCATGCCTGTAATCCCAGCACTTTGGGAGGCTGAGGCGGGCGGATCACGAGGTCAGGAGATTGAGACAATCCTGGCTAACATGGTGAAACCTCATCTCTACTAAAAATACAAAATATTAGCCGGGTGTGATGGCACGCGCCTGTAGTCCCCGCTACTCTGGAGGCTGAGGCAGGAGAATCACTCGAACCCGGGAGGCAGAGGTTGCAGTGAGCTGAGATCACGCCTTGCACTCCAGCCTGGGCGACAGAGCAAGACTCCGTTTCAAAAAAAAAAAAAAAAAGAAAGAAAAGAAATCAAATGAGCAATTACATGAAGAAAAGGAAGTTATTTTGCCCTCTGCTTCTCATGTGTACATTCATTCAGCAGATATAACTCAACCTCTATTGTGTGCCAGTCACCATGCTAGGAGATGAAGATACAGAGAAACATAAAATATGGAACTAGTTTTTATTAGCCTGGCAACTGAGGATAGAGGTGCATGAGTAACACAATATGATGAGAAGTGTAGTGGAGGGTTGTAAAGGCTGAGGGATCCTAGAGGAGGCGGTGACTGACTGTGCCTTAGGGGCCAGGAAAATTTGCATGGAAAATGAGGATGCTTTCACTTGCAGATAAAGCATAAGTAGTAAGGAAGGGAGAAAGTCTCAGCCAAAGGGAAGGGCAGGTGCTAAGGCCCTGGGGTGAGCCTGTTCAGAGTAAGTGGTCCTCTGTCATGATGGGCACATAGCTTGTCTTGCTAGTGAAGGATCTCGTCAAAAAGTTAGTTTAGAGAGCTTTCTCTGGGACATGGTAAAAGACAACCTGGAATGAAGTACTAGCGGCAGTCAGGCCAGTGAGTGGGGTTGGCAACAGAGCAGGTAGGTAGACCTGCATTTGGTTGCTGGTCACAGAAATGGAGAGTGAGAGATATTTCTAAGTCAGGATGCCCTAGTGGCAGACCCCCAAGTCCTCGAACTTCAGGGCAGAACTGCCTGGGTGGGAACTCTCCCATGTCTCCTTGATTTCACTGCCACCTCTGCTGGCGTCCTCTCTCATCTCCGCCGCCAGCCCCCGCCTCCTTTCTCGGGAAGCTTGGGTCTCCCTGGGAGCGGGTCTGCCCTTAGGGGGAGGCCTCTGGGCTCTGTGCCCTGCAGCTCGGCAGGCATTCGAGGCGGACAGAAACGGGGCTTGGCGCCCCCCGCGTGCACGTGTGCTAGCCCAGGCAGGAGGGAGCGCCTCGGCGGAGGAGTCAAGGAAGAGGGGGAGGGAGAAACGCGCCAGAACCTCGGCCCGGGCGCCCTCGTCGGCCGCGGAGGAGCTGCAGCCTCCAACAGGTTCGTAGAACGCGCGCTCGCTCCCTGTGGCTGAGCCGCCCTCCTCCGCGGGAGCGGTTGGCGGAGAGACCCCGGCCACAGGCCCCGCGCTCGAGAGCTTCCTAGAGGCGGCTTCCTCCGGCCTCTCCCCCTCCCTGGAGCTCTCAGCCGCCGGCGGCTCTTCCGGGGCGAGGCAGAGGGCGCCTCGGGCTTCTCGCTCCAGCACCATCTCGGGGACAGCTCCCGCGCCGCACCGGGTCCCTATCGGGTCAGCACTGCAGCGGCGGACAGCGGCGGCCGGGCGGGCTCCTCCGCACCCTCCGCCCTGGTTCCGCGCGGCTGCTAAGGACCGTCCCTCGCCCCCGCGGGCCGCTCCCAACGCTAGCACCGCGGCGGCGGACAGCTCTCTCCGGCGGCACCGCGAACCGCGAACAAAGCCGCGGGTCTGGGGCCCCCAGCGCGCCTAGGGGTGGCGTGAGGCCGCATCGATCGGGGGATTTCAGCTTCTCCCAGAGAGGTGTCACCGGCGAGCTAGGCGGGGGCCTAGCACAGCCGCGCGTCTCCGGCTTGGGTCCGCCGCCCGCCGAGGCCTGGCCGTGCAATGGCGGGGCCCAGCTAAGAGTGGGCAAGAGGTAGAGGGGAAACAGGCACAGAACGGTCCCGGCTCCGCTAGGCGGGCTGGGCCTAGGCTGAGGTCCCGGCGGGGAGGAAGGAGTGCGCCGCCCCGTCTTCCCTCCAGACCCCCACCCCATCCCAGCTCAGAATCGCGGACTTCCAAGAGCCCTGCACAGAAGCCCGCGGCTGGCAGCTGCAATCACTGACTCCGGCTGTCCCCGGAACATCCCTAGAAAGTGTGAGGCTGAGTTTCCGTAGGGGGAGGGGGCTGAGAAGCCGCGGGGAAGCCTCACGAACGGGACAGCTCCAGGCTCCCTCTCTCCCTCACTCCCCGGGTTCCGCCCCCACCTCCAGAGAAATCCCAGACGGCAGAGAAGGCAGGGGGGAGGGGGCGACCCAGACAGCAGGTTGCGAACTCGGCTTAGACCTGGGAGGTTGCAATTAGCAAGAAAAAAGGTTGAGGGCGTCTGTGAAGCCGGGAGGTTCCCAAACAGGGAAGCCAGTTCCGCGGCAGGAAAGCATACGTGGAAGAGAAACCTTTTCTCTGAGAGCTGAGGCTGGGAGGGCCCTCGGATCACGTGACACTCTAGATCACTGATTGTCTCCGCGGAAGACAAGGCCTAGGGGGCAGGGGTGATTCGCCCAAGGTCACTCAGCAATTTAGTAGCAAAGCTGGGCCTAAAACCCGGGCTCTCTAACTCCTGGGCCTGTTGCATAACATTCATAGAGAAGTCTTTTAAAATCCCACATGCAAGGAGAATAGCAGAGTGGTTTACTTACTAGCATATGACCTTGGGCAAGTGACTGTCTGAGACTATCTTCAGCTATTAAAGAGGAATGAGAAGATCAATAATACCCACTTCGATGAGAATTTAATGAGAGAGCCATGTAATGAGCTTAGTGGCACATAGTAAATGCTCAAAAAATGGTAGATCCCATGACTGCTATCATACTTTCTGTAAACTTGTACTGGGGACCTGTTATATACCAGGCACTGGCTGTGCACTGGGGAGGCAGAGAAGTAGCTTGAGGAGGTCACAGGCCAGAAAAGGAAACAAACAGTTGCAATATGTTATGATAAGTATCAAGGCAACTGGGCTGTGGGATCTCAGAAGCAGGAGTCACGAACTGTAAGGAAAGACCAGGAAAATGACCCCAGGCAGACAGAGCTGTGTGTCAAGGCCAAGAGATGTGAAGTCCCAGCCACCAAGGCAATGTCACTGTGCCAGAGGGTCCTCAGGATGTGGACTGAAAGATGAGAGTGGAGAGAAAGGCTGGAGCCGGTCTCCAAAGAGCCTTTTATGGATGGAATCCTTCAAACATATTTAGAAAAATAGAAAGAATAGTATAATAACCCCCCACATACCCATCATTCAGCTTCAACAGTTGGCCAATTTTGTTTCATTTATACCCACACCCACTCTCATCACACACACCCACATCCACTCTCATCACATGCGCACACACTCACACTGACTTATTTGGAAGCAAACCCAAGACATCACATCATTTCATACAGAGGGATTTTAACATCAGTACAACTTCTGCCATGCAGATACTGGACAGCCTTGGAAGTCACTAACTCAAATCATGACCTTTCTACCTCAATTCATTCTGAACATTTCTGTCCTTTGCAGAATGTTTTGAGAAGCCACACTATAGTGATGAGCCACATGCATTAAAAGAAACTGTTTCAGAAATAAACAAGGGATGCATCAACACTCAACAGGTTTTACCATGCCAGAATTGTTCATGTCCACTACCTACAGTGGGCTTTAGACCAATTACTAAAGACAAATCAAACTCTACAGAGAAAAAGCAAGAGCTTCTCTTTCAAAGTAATCTGAATCGTGAGTTCCTAAGGCTAGAAAGCTTAGCATTATGGAAATCATTGATTTGGAAATCATCAAGCCCAATAGCCACATTTTACAAATGAGGAAGAGGGGGTAAAAAATGGGGAGAAAATGGCCCAAAGTTCCATGGTGCAGAGACCAGAACCGAGATCTTTGAACTCATAAACTTAAGATCCCATTTTCTTCTCTAGCTCAAAGAGGCTGGAAGGTGGAAAAGGAAGGGGGGCAAGAAATACCCTTCTTTGTTCTCAAGAAGATGGCAATGTATGACAGTTGGTCTTGATCTTTGAGATCCCTTTGCAAATTTCATATATATATATATATATATATATATATATATATATAGTAATCACAGCTTACTGTATCCTCAAACTCCTGGGCTTAAGGGGTCCTCCCTCCTCAGCCTCCCAAGTGGTTAGGACTACAGGCATGCACCACCATGCCCAGCTATTTTTTTTATTTTTTTTATTTTTATTTTTTTTGTAGAAATGGAGTCTCACTATGTTGCCCAGGCTGGTCTCAAACTCCTGGGCTCAAGTGATCCTCTTGTCTCACCTCCCTAAATGCTGCTGGGATTAAAGGCATGAACCATCCCACCCAGCCCCTTCCATATACTTTCTAAGTAACTTGATCTTGGTGGCACCTTCTTTCTGGCTGCTGTGTTAACCTCCCAGCTGGCCCCTTAGTTCTCATGAGCAAAAGGCTGCACAGTCAGAAGCCCAGATCTCATTTTTGTGGATTTTTGCCAGCCCTGCTTTTCTTAACCAGATGCATATGAGGCCTTCCTTTTCCGATTTGCCCTGAATTTGGCTGCACACCTAGCTCACAGACCTCAGCTCCTTGGAGGTGCTAAATGAGTAGTATTTGGCTCAGGCTCTGGAAGGACTCAGAGCTCTTGTGCCTTTTGAGAACATAAATTCTCCCCATTACTGATGAAATGTGATGGCCATGATGGGTATGTGTGTCCTGACTGGGCTCTGGGGCTCTGATTCTGCCAGTCAGGCTTTCCACTTTTCAGGGAAGCCCCTGCCTATCAAATGGGGAGGGCAGTGTCTCACAAGTTTCCCCAAGTCGTAGGTAGAAAATTCAGAGCACACGCAAAGAGCTCTTAGCATCCTTGGTGAAGGGAAGTCAGCCATTAAAAGCCAATAAGAGCCAATAAAAGTCCCCTTGAACCCAGGAGGCGAAGGGTGCAGTGAGCTGAGATCATGCCACTGCACTCCAGCCTGGGCAACAAGGCAAGACTCTGTCTCCAGAAAAAAAAAAAACAAGTGCCTTGTTCTGGGAGTGTGATTGCAGTCCAGACATAGACAAGTGATCAAGATAGGGCATCCCAGCTTGTGAAATTATCCCAGCTATCAGCTTGGGATGAGACTGACTTAGATGCAGTATATTACCTGGGCCTAGCTGAACTGCAATATGTAAGATCCCAAAGGGACTTGGTGAGCATCTCCTCTTCCTTCAAGACGCTTACTCATTGAATGGCTATTCTGTGTCGGGCACCATTCCAAGTGATGGTGATACAGCAGAACAAGGCATGCTAATCTCTGTTCTCATGGGGCTTACAGACCCACAGTAGGCACAGTCATTGATAACAATTGAAAAGCAAATGTGAAAATAGACAGACAGAGAAGGCCTGTGTGAACTAGTGACATGGAATTGAGGCCTGAATGACAAAAGTCAGTCATGTGACAACGTGGGGCAGCACACTCCAGGCAGAGGAAATCGCTCTGGCAGAGGCCCTAATGTGAGCCTGGACTGCATGGGGACAGATGGGAGGTGGAGTGAGTGAGGGGAGAGCAGCAGCCGCCAGGGGCAGGGAGGGGGCAGAGAGGAGATCATGCAGGCCCTTCTAGGCCATGGTCAGGATTGAGGCTTTTATTCTAAATGTAATAGATAGTAGCCAGATGGCTTTAAGCAGAGGAGTGTTAAAAAAAAAAAAAAACTGGGTTTTAAAAAAATGCCTCTGTTGCTGTGTGGAGAGTGGATGATATGGGGGTGCTGGGCTGAGCACTGAGGCAGGAAGGGTGAGACACAGCCTCTCCCACCTGGAGGAGGTCAGCATTCAGCTGAGGAGACCATAGGCAAGCAAGAACAACAGTAGCCCACGCTAAGGGCTGCCATTGTGGGAACAGAGACAAGAAGATTTAAGTCAGCCTGGGAAGCATCTGGGAAGGCTTCATGGAGGTGGGCAATGGATGTGGGATTGTATCTGGGAAAGGAGAGTGGTAAGGCTGCTGCATAGGTGGACCAAGGGGCAGCGTGTGGTAGCTGTGGAGGGCATGGCCCAGGAGCTAGGCTGCCTGGGTTCAAATCCCAGCCCTGCCATTGAGAAGCTGTGTGGGTTTAGGCAAGTTGTTTACCCTTGTGTGACTCGATGTCCTCATTCTTAAAGTGGAGACGATGAGAGTCCAAAGACTTATTTCAAGGGATTTCTGTGAGAGTTAAACAAGTTAAAATATGTGCAGCACTCAGACATTCCTGGCACTCAGAAAGTGCCGTATGAGTACGAGTATTCTAAATAAAAACGGAGCAAAATGGAGATGGGCGAGCCGGGAGCACATGCCAAGAAGTGTCCACTAGAGCCCGGCTCGGGGCCTCGAATCCCAGACCAGAGATGCCCACCTTGCTCTGTAAGCAATG
This sequence comes from Homo sapiens, assembly GCF_000001405.40. Lineage (NCBI taxonomy): Eukaryota > Metazoa > Chordata > Mammalia > Primates > Hominidae > Homo > Homo sapiens. The sequence continues at coordinate 175,801,875 of NC_000005.10, forward strand.
GGAGCCATTGAAGACTTTTAAGCAGGGGGGTTCAGAGTAGAGAGGAAGATAAAATCCAAAGGCCCAGAGAGGGAAGGGAACTAACCCACAGTCACACAGCCAGTTACTGGCAGGAGTCTCTGTCCTCCAGCTCCTCCACTGAGTTAACATCTGTAGGAGAACAAAGGCAGTATATATTTTGTCCCATCATTGCATCCTCAGAGTCTAGAATAATGCCTAGGGTATTCTCAGAAAATATTTGTGGGGTACATTGCTGAATTGGTAGCCAGTTGGGCCAGGAAACATCAGAAACCTTGAATCCTCTAGAAGCTCAGTGCTTTCAGGACAATGGTGAAACCAGTCTCAGGAAAATAAACCAAACTTCCAGAGGTGTTGACGTGGGGTCTCAAGCCCTTCCAAATCCTAGGTTCTCCTGTGATCAAAGACACCACTGCCCACACTTTCCCTGCCGCCCCCTCAATCTGCAACAAGCATTGCTGCATAGGGTTCAGAAGTTAATCTTGGTAAAGTGCCTGGCAGATGAAAACTGTTCCTCAGACATTCAGTGTGGTAATTGCCAATGCGGAGAAAATGTATCTCCACGTTTGCAAGAGGCAGGCCTTTTTGTTCCACAAAAACCAGCCATTAGAATTCCTGTCTCTGACTCGTCGGAAGCTGCGACAGCCAGGAGGGCAAGCAGGGTCTTGCAGTTCAAGCAGCAAATGGCAAAAGGCTCCGAGGAACTCAGCCCTGGCTCTCACATCAGGAACACCTCTGCAGAGTAGGGCATGGGGCCAGGTGCTTCTCCAACAGGAGAGAGCCTCAGCCCTGACCCTTCCTAGCTGGACGATCTTGAGCAAGTCCCACCATCTATAAAATGGGGGTAATACCGCCAGGGCCCACTGGGTCATTTTGCACAATGACAGGCACATACCAGATGCTCAACAAATGTGCTTCCTTCCTTCCTTTCTTTTTTTTTATTTTCCTTTTTTTTTTGAGACAGAGTCTCGCTCTGTCACCCAGACTGGAGTGCAGTGTCATGATCTTGGTTCACTGCAACATCCACCTCCCAGGTTCAAGCAATTCTCCTGCCTCAGCCTCCAGAGTAGCTGGGATTACAGGCACCCGCCATCACACCAGACTAATTTTTGTATTTTTAGTAGAGACAGGGTTTCACCGTGTTGGCCAGGTTGGTCTCGAACTCCTGACCTCAGGTGATCCGTTTGCTGGGATCCGAAGTGCTGGGATTACAGGCATGAGCCACCCAGAGTGCTCGGCCCAAATGTGCTTTCAATTGTGACAATAACACTGTGGGTTAGGGTTATCATCCCATTTCCCAAATGTGAAAACTGAAGCCCAAGGAATGGCTCATTGATTCGTCAATACCCACTGGGCAGCTGTATGAGCCAATAACTGTTTTAGAAGCTGGAGAGACAGGGAAGACGAAGACAAGGACCATGCCTCTATGGAGCTCACTTTCTACTGGGAGACAGAAGCCAGGCAAGTAAACAAAATCATTTCACCAAGTCATATAAATACTAGGAAGAAAGTAAAAGAGAGGAGTGTGCCGAGGAGGATGAGGCTGTTTAAATCAGGGAAGGCTTCAAGGAAGAGGCATTGGGACTGGCATCTGAATGAGAAGCTGCCTATGGGACAAGCGTGGAGGCAGAAGAAACAGAACATGCAGAGGTCCTAGGGCAAAAACAAACCTGACAAGATTGCAGGATAGAAACCAAGTGAGCAAGGAGGAGAGTCACAGACGGTGACAGCGGAAAGGCTGTAAGGCTTGGGTTAGGCAGGACCTTGAAGGCTGAGGGAGTCTCTTTGGGAGACAGAGGGGTGGCGTGATCTAAATTGTGATGAAGTCACTTCCCTCAGTCACTCAGCCAGTAAGGGGTGGATGGGGTGAAGCCCATGTCAGAGTGATCCCCTGGGCCCTCCTTCAGGCCACAGTCCCTGCTGCCATCTCTAGAGCAGGTCAGCCAAGGGGCAGGCCAAGTGATGCATCTGCAGGACTCACCTGCTGGGAAATAAATCCATTGGCGCTGGCAGCCGTGTGGGCGCTGCAGTGCCTTGCGGGCAGCATCCTAATGCCGGGAGGATGCAGGGGGAGGGAGACGACATAAGGCCACCAGGACTGGGGTGAGGCCAGTAAGACACCTGCCTCTGGTGCACAATTTAAGGGGATGCTGAAAACTTGATTAAGATAAATAACTTTTTATGCAATTTTTTTTTAAATTAATGCAAAAAAACCGTGATGAATAAAATATCAAAATTTTAAATCAAGACAGGATACAAAAGAGCAGGGATTAGGGTGAGGAAGGTGAAATGAATTGTGCATAAGCAGGACCTAATCTTGGCCCGAAGACATTTGCTTAACTGCAGGGACACTGCCTGGGCCAAGCACTGTTCCCACTAGGAGCCAGTATCAAGAGCCAGTCTGCTCATGGTGAACCAAAAATAAGAAACTGTTCCTGGTGGGGGCCCCAGAGAACACTGCCTGCCTTGGCTGTGGAGACAGAAGCCCAGAGAAAGGATCACACATCAAGGAGGTGATACTGGGCCTGTACCCTAAGGTGCTGTGTAGGATCAGACCCACCCCTTGTATGCTTTGGGAGCCTAGTAAGGTGCATTGCCTCTCCAGCCTCAATTTCCCCATCTGTGAATCCAGAACTAATAAAACTTAGTCACCAGGATTCAGTAGGGTACTGGTTAAAGTCCTCTAGCGCCTGGCTACTCAATGTGTGGTCCACGGACCGGCAACATCAACATCAGCTGGGAGTTTATTAGAAATGCACGATCTCAGCTGCATCTCAGAGGCATTGAATCAGAACCTGTGTTTTAACAAGACCCCCCGGTGATTGACACACCCCGGTGATTGACACACACGTTTAAGTCTGAAAGCCTGGTCAACTCTTGGCACATAAAAGATGCTCATTAAATGTTAGTGCTACTCCCCTGACTACCCAACCCTGTTAGATTCTGACTTCAGACAAGAGGAAAAACCCAAGACGTAAGAAGAGATCCTGAGGTGGACACCTCATGCATTTTAAACCAGCAAGTTTTGAAGCGAGGGACCCTGGCCAAGCTCTTTCTATACTTAACTGTATGAGCCCTCCATTTTGTTCACATGTAAAATGGGGATAATAATTATAGGTAGCTTCTATGGTTGTTGTAATATTAGGAAAACACTCAGCACAATGCTTGGCACATAGTAAGCATTCGGTAAACTCTTGCTGCTGTGGCCGCTGCTGGTGGTGGGTCAATGAATTTCAATAGAGCATAGACCATGTGATGAAATGAAATCAATAACATTCATATTAATTATTCTTTGCCATTTGTAAAGCATTTCAGTTGACGCCATTTCAGCCAACCCTAATAACCCTTTTGAGTAAGCATAAGATATATCCATTTTTCAGAGAAAAAAATCTAGACTCAGGGATGAGGTGACTTGTCCACTAGGATTTAAATCCCTGGAGTCTGACACTAAAATCTGTGTCAGCAACAGAGAATCCGAGCAATAAGCATGGAAAATATAAAAAATGGGATGAGACAGCATTAGACTGCAGAGATCCCTTTTTGTTTTGCAGAAGGGAAAACGGACACCTGTGGAGGGGAAGAAACGTGTCCAAGATCATTCACACAGAGCGTCAGCTCTGGGGTCAGAACCCAGCTCCCAAGGCTTTCCGTGTCCAGACCACCTCCCTCACCTGGTTGGCCAGCCTCCACCTGATGAGCCGGGCAGGCTGCAAGTGGCAAGTTCCCTGGGTGGGTCTAGTGGTCAGGGGGCATCCCAGCCCCACCTTTCCTTCCAGCACAGTCAGAGGAGCTCACGTTGCCAAGGGGAGGGCTGCGAGGTTGCCAGGACATGGTCTGCAAGCAGTCAGGTGGTAGGGGAAGCCTTTGCTGGAACTGGCACTAGGAGCTGCCACAGCGATTTTCTCGTGGCTGGGAGAGGACCTCCAACTCCACAGCATGGGTCAGCTGATGAGAGGGTTGACTGCCACAGACGCCCATGTCACCGCTACACACACACCCAAGCCAGCAGGCTGAGTCCCATTCTCCCTCAGCTCCACACCTCATCAAGCCCTGAGTCCTGATAGCTACTCCTCCTATCTTTGCCACCCCAAGCCACTGCCTTAGCACAGTTCCCTGTCCACAGCCTGTTAAGAGCACCCCAGATTCCCCACCTTCATGCTCCCTTTCTCATCCTTGAGCCCCTGAGGTGCCTGGAAGGATCTAGAGCGCAGAGCTGAGCCCTGCAATGGCTCCCCATCACCCTCAAGGTGAAGCCCAAGCTCCTCTAAGGCCCCTTCTAAACTGGCTCTGACAACCCGCCAGTCTTTTTTTTTTTGGCCCTGAGGCTCCAGCCAAGCCACCTTCCTCCCAGTTCCCTCAGTAAACCATGCATCCCCCGTGTCTTTGCAGATGCTGTTCCTTCTGCCTGGAAAGCCCTTCCTGCCTCACTATCCACTTGGCCTCTGCAAATCCTTAGCTCCAGACTCACCTTTTCAGAGAAGCCCTCCAGCTTCTCTAAGGTGATGAAGAGAGAGGCACCTTAGAGAAACCTGTGTTAGAGGGGGTGACACACTGTAGCTTAAGGATCTGCTTTCCTGCTCGTGTCCCCATTCGGCTGTGAACTTTTTTTGTTTTTGAGACAGAGTTTCACTCTTGTTGCCCAGGCTGGAGTGCAATGGTGCCATCTTGGCTCACCGCAACCTCTGCCTCCTGGGTTCAAGTGATTCTCCTGTCTCAGCCTCCCGAGTAGCTGGGATTACAGGCATGTGTCACCACGCCCGGTTAATTTTGTATTTTTTTTTTTTTTAGTAGAGATGGGGTTTCTCCATGTTGGTCAGGTTGGTCTCAAACTCCCTACCTCAGGCGATCCATCACCTCAGCCTCCCAAAGTGCTGGGATTACAGGTGTGAGCCACTGCGACCAGCCTCAGCTATGAAGTTTTTATGTCTCACTCTTAGAGTAAGACAAGAGACCTTGGCAGAGTCATTCTCCTACTTAGTTACTCACGGGTTTCCACTGTGCGAGATCAAGGCCTCTCTGGGCCTCCGTGCCATCCTCTGTGTGGTAGGGGTTATGACATTGGCCTTGCCAGGCTAGCGGGAGTGTTAAGGATTGTGACTGTGGGGGTTTGGCACACAGTAAATACACTGAAGGTGGTGGCATTGCTGTTTTGTTTACACCAACACCACCAGTGCCCAGCACAGAGGCACAGAAAACTCACCAGCAAGTGCGTGCTCAACGGGCCCCTCGCCTGCACAGGAGAATGACTAGTGTGTGAAAAGGCTCTGTAAGGAATGACGCTCCATTCTAAGTCATAATAATTCTAGTAGTTCACGCTTTTGATTCTCCCTGCCTCCTAGACCCAAGTCATCCCAACATGTGTTCTGCCCACTCTTCATTCATGGAACAAAAGTTTACTAAGCACATACTATGTGCCAGATGACGCGCTAGCTGTTTGGGACTGAGCAGTAGGTAGACATTAAACACAGAATTGTACCACCTCTCCTTCTTTCCTTCCCTTCTTAAAGGCCAGCCTCCTGTCCCTGCACACAGGTGGCCCCACCTAAGGACAGGGAAGATGCCATTTGCTCCCAGGTGCTCGTTCCCTGGGCAGACAGCAGGCTGCAGCCCACAGGCGCCTACCCTTTCTCCCTCCCCAGCAAGCTGGAAACAGGAACATCTGCCCTGTTTTTAATCCAGTTGCTAGTTTTAAATTCAAATATTGTCAGCTCCCTGAGAGCAGGGATCATGCCTGCCCTTTTCACTGCAGTTGTCACCAGCATTTAGAACACAGCCTGGCAGAGTCATTCACCCACTTACTCATCATTCATTCATTCATTCATTCACTCAACATATACTTATCAAGTCCTGCTAAATGCCAGGCTCTGGGGAAACCACTGGGCTCGGCCCCAAGAAGCTCCTATTCCAGCAAAGGAAGAGGGGAGGGAAGTGGGGGTCTGAGGATTGTGTTAGGAGGTAACGGTGCCTGGAGTGGGCTGATCCCTGTGGGAATCCCTGATTCACTCTATACTGTCTCCCTGATCTGGGCCAACCGTTCATGCCTCTCATCCTTAGTCCTCACCTCTGCAAGTGAGACAATAGTATCTGCTTCCTGGAGCCACTGAGAGCAGGGCTATCGTTACTAAAAGAAGAGGAAATAGAGAGCTGGGGGAGGAGGCGACAGGTTGTCCTGGGAGGAGGACATTGCAGCCCCTTCAGTTGCTGGGGCCTTGGTGCCCCGCCCAGTGGGGGCCTGGCTGCAGCAGAGAGCAAGAGCTGCAGAGAGAAGAGTTCCAGCTCCACACCTACCCCTGTGTGATCTTAAGCAGACCATCTCCCCCTCTCCGCATCAGTATTTTCATCTATCAAATGAGGATGGAACATCGACCTCACTCATCCTAAATATGTGATACCAAATCTAGCAAACTTGTCACGATGCTCAGTCAACAATTATTTACTGGCACCTACAATCTGCCCGGCCCCGTGCAGAGCTCTGGAAACAAAGTCATGTAACGGCCAACCTTTGCCTTTTACGGAATGCATGGTGCCCCCTAGAATCAAGCAGAGGAAGGTAATTAAAATTTAAGGAGCTATAGTGTAAAAAAAAAATCTTCACAGACGTGGTCTTATTTAACAACAGCAATCATAACAAGCACTTATATAGCACTGAGTATATGAGGCCAGTAGTATTAGGCATCCCATTTTACAGATGAGGACACTGAGGCTCAGAGAGGACATCCCCAAAGCTGGAATTCAAAACCAGATATGATTGATGATAAATCCTGTCCCTTTACACCAATCAGAAATCACATTTAAGTAAGAAAAGTATGGTCAATTGTACTACCACCAAAGTACGGTCAATGGTACAGTGCTACCCGCACCAGTGAACAAGATGAGTAACTACTATCAGATTGGGTGAGGTGGGCCAGGAGTTGGGTCTGATGCCAGGCAGGGTCCCATCCCGCCCAGCCCTTTGCTGGAATCAAGAGCAGCAGTGGTGGCCTCCGGAGAAGTGAGGGCATGCCTTCACTGGGGTCTGGGGCTCCATGCCCATTCAGCAAGCCAATTCCCCAAGAAGCTCTCTCCTTAGCCCTCAACCTCCTCTCTCCTCCTCCAGGAAGGTGTGGTCCCTGCCATGCTATCTGCTCTGCTCAGCGACTGAAGGTGCCCGCATCCCAGCTCTGCCAGGAAGCAAAGGTAAGGGCACTGCTCAGCACTAAAGCCCTGGATAGTGTTCAGGGCATCCCCTCATCCCTGGAGCCCTGATGAAGGGGGCACGTCTTCCCCTCTGTGATTGCCAAGAACAGTCCTAAGATGGAGTGAGATGGATCAGTTGGGCAGTGTGATGGAATGGTGTTTACCTTGCATGTTCAGAGCCGTTTACAACAGAGAAGCACTTTCTTGTGCAATGCCTTATTCAGTGCTCCCCAAAAAACCTGAGGTGGATATTATTATCCCCAGTTACAGATGAGAAAACTGAAGCTCAGAGAGTGAAAGGACTTGCCTAAAGACACACAGCTGGTAGGTAGCTAAGGCTGAATTCCAAGCTTTTTCATGTCCGTATCCCAATGGCCTGTGCACATTGTAGGTGCTTGGTACATGTTTGATGAATGAATGAATGAACTGATGAACTGCCCAAGATGAATGGAAAGGCAGGGCTGGGCTGGCACTTGGCTCTCTTGTCACTGTCAGATCCTGTGCTTTTTCTGCTGAGCCACGGCTTCCTGCACTGATGAGCTCAACATCCCCCATGCCACCCCCTCCCCAGCCCAGGATCCCAACCATCTTATGGGTGGAGGAGTCAACCTCAGCTCCTCTTCCAGGTGGCCGGCCAAGCTCGGATCACACCCGGCATCCCTCATCCACATCGCCTCTTCCCCACCACCCACGACCAGTAATCCAGTGTGCATAGTTGTAAACTTGTTTCTTTAAATAAACAGTCTTGAGTTTCATACCAAATAGTCTCTTAAGAGAAGGAACGTCTCCAGGCCACCTCGTATTTAGCATACAGTGAGCCACATATTTGCACAGAGAGAGTGTATGTGGATATAGAGATCGCTCGATCGCTATAGATATCGTTGCTCATCCAGATGGGAGCTATTTATGATGCTGAGTCATTCGCAGAGAATGCCACTGAGGAATTCCAGGCTGGGCTCCGAGCCCCAGCATCACAGACCTCATGGCTCTCTGCCTTGTCTTCACTGTTCACAAATGAGAGGTGGGAGGGGGGCCTCCCATCACAGGGCAGGGACAGAAGGGAACATTTTGGCCACAGGAAATGAAGATTTCCTCATAACTAGTTCCTACTGTAAGTCATTCTCCTCCATCCAGAGCCTTGCACCCTTAGGGATCATCTTGTCCAATTCCTTCATTGTGTAGGAGAGAAAACTGAGACCCAGAGTGGGGAGGGACTGGCCCAGTGTCACACAGAGAGTCGGGGACAGAGCTGGTGCTAAAGCCCAGACCTTCTGGCTGCTGTCTGGGGTTTCCACATTCCCAGCAACCTTCTTCAGGTTTTGTCTCCAATGTCTTGGCATTTCCTCTCACTGAGGAGCTTCTCATCTTCCAAAATTTGGAGATGTCACTGAGCACTTGCACCTTTGGGCTCTTGCAGGACAAGAGCTGACTCCAGCTTGTTTGGGTACTCCAGCCCCATGCTTAGTGCAAGACCTGCACACACTGGCTGCTCAATACGTGTGTACTGAGTGTTATATAAGACCAAACTCAGTACCAATTCCTGGGGAACCCATTTGGAAAAGCACCCATCTATCTCCACCCTCTCTTTCTTGTCTCTAAGCCAGTTCCCTATCCATGCAAAAATAGACTCCCTCCCACTCACCACCCACCTCTGCCCAATTCTATAATGAATCAATTTTATTAATAGGCTTTGGGATGGAAACTTGACAAAGGCTTTTTGTGAAAGTCTCGCTTTATCTCCCTACATAGTTCACTTCTCAAAGAATTCTAATAAACTGGTCAGGTGGAATTTGGTCTTACATAAAATATTCATTAATCCACTCTTTCCCTCCATATAGAATGTATTGGTTTAAGCATTCAGTGATCTCTAGCCTGTGTTATAGATTCTATTCAATTGTTCTAAGAGGCAGTGGGATGAGATGGAAAGAGCACGGGCTTTGGAATGAGGGCCAAGTTGAAGTCTAGCTGGCCCCTTACTGGTTTTTCTTTCACATTGATTACTCTGAGGATTAAATGAGATAATATATGTAAGGTGGATGGCACATAGTAAGTGCTCGATGCAGGTTTGTGAATAAATGAATGAATGATTATGAATGATTGGTTCAGGACCCATATAAACCAGATCTTAAAGCTGGAGGAGCCAGCTGACTCTGCATTCTGAGTTAACAAAGTCATACTACCCAGGAAGGGTGGTTTGAAAAGTCTTGAGAAGCAAACTTCAGGATTAGGCTGTTGGTTGGCCTGTCTCCAGGCCAGAAAGGAGGATCTTTCTCCAGCCCCTGGTGCAAGGGGTTCCCTCAGCTCAAGAAAAAATTTGAGTCTGGAATCTGGGTTCAAAACAGAAAACTCCTTGAAAATCAAGACTGTGTCATTTTATTGGTGGATTCTGCCTTTCTCTCAACTAGAGCCTGGCTCAGAGTGATGTCGAATAGGCAGAGAGGTCCACAGCACATATTCATGTTGTGAAGATGAGGTGCATTGACTTGAGTTGATCTGAGTTGACTTGGCTTGAATTGACTTGAGTTGTTCTGAGTTTACTGGTGGACTCAACTCTTGGGCCCACCGAGAGAGAAGCTTCCTGAAACTTGGACTTAGCTAAGACCTGGCTGGTCTCATAGCACAGGGGAGACTTCACAGGTGATGTTCTGGGGACATTACAGAGTGTCCCGAAGATAGAGGCCTTTCAGAGAGGACCAGGGCCATAGTCAGCACTGAAGAGCTGGATAGCAGTCTTGGCTCAGTCAGGGGGCACCACATGGCTAAATGTCCCTTAGGAATCTTTAAAATCTATTGGAACTCTGCCAGGACCTTTTCATATTTTTAAGGCAATAGAAGCCTTTCTTACTGGCATAGAGGGATCTTTTTGGGGTACCCACTTCAGTGGGAGGATGGCCTCCAGGTTGGAAGGTCAACTAGACTCAGCAATGAGGAGAGAAGACAGGGTGAGGCTGGGAACCAGGCAGAGTTTCATACTACAGATGCTGGGACCATTGTAGGTGGGTCCTCCCATGGAAGCGAGGGTTTGGGGATCTGAGTGAGATGTGATTCTAACTCTAGACTTATGTCAGGCAGTGTTTGCTGAAGGGAAAATGACCCAGAAAGTACACTGGGAAATCAGGCAAGACCTATAGCCTCACCATGCGGAGGGCAGCCAGCACAGCTCAGGCCCCTTGGCCAGCCCCATCCCAGGCCCTGCCCACCACAGAATGCAGCCAGCACCTGAGGGAGACAGGAATGAGAACACCAGTGAGCTTCAGGTGAGCAGGGGCTGCTCACACGCTTACTGCACTTGACCAGTGTCTGTCTCTCACACGGGTCTGGGAACCCACCAAAGGAAATATGTTGCGTTCCTATCATCCCCTTTGTACCCCCTAAAAATCTGGGTACAGATTTTAGACATCAGTGTTTGATGAGTGAATAATCAGGTCAGAGTAAGATTTAGAAAGCCAGTGGAAGATTTCAAGATGGCAAAATGGAAAATTTCAAGATTTCAAGGTGGCCAAGGTCCAAGGTAGAGACGCCTAGCCAGAAAAAATAAGATAGACCCAGAAGCTGCCCCTCAGGAATTTGGCTCATGGAAAAATAATGCACTAAATGGAGCCAAGGGACAGGGTGGTGCAATGTGAGCTTGAAATAATGTTCCTCAGCATCCTGGGCTTCTAAGAAGGTTCTCAGGGCCCATTATGGGATGGGTTTGGGGAAGAGAAGGCCTCAAAGAAGAAGCCCTAGATCCTCCAAATCCATTTCAACCACAAAAGCTTCGCTTTTATCTGTTGTATATGTTGGATTTCCTCCTAAATTTTTACTTTTAAAGGGTTCTTTTGATTTTAAAAAGTGCATTTGGGAAAGTACTGGCATTGAAAGAGCCTATGCCTTTGGAGGTAGACTGGGTCCAGATCTCAGCTCCATCCCTTTCCACCAGTGGGACTTGGGGCAAGTGTCCCTTTGAGCCTCCACATTCTCAGCCACGAGCCACCCTCCCAGGGCTGTATGAGCACAGCTAAGCGGCTCTGGTACCTCCCAGAGGCTGGCACACGTGTGATTGATTGATGCTGTACAAGATGACTTTAGCTGGTATACAGATGAACATTTATTATTTTAATAGCTCGCAAGTGATGCGTGTTAGAAATATATAACCAGCACACTAAACTGTGATTTATGAAAATAATATGGCATTTCCTCTGAAAATAAAATTGTGATCTTTTTAAAAAGGCAAATCAATTTAAAGAGAAATACTAAGTAAGTGATAGGGCAGAAATCATGAAGGTGGCACAGGAATGACTGAAATTTGGGGGAAATTGAGAGAATCTATGTAAACACCAATCACAGTGTCTGTCACTTAAGAAGGGCTCAAAAAGTTAGTTCTTATATCCTTCTATTTTAGCTCCCTGGGGTGGTTGAACCTAGAACCATGCTCAAAAAACAAAACAAAACAAAAACAAAGCTTCCTGGGACAAAGTAGGGGCCCAGGCCCAGTCGGTCTGGAACAGTGTGGGGTGGGCATGAGACAGGCAGCCATGGATCCAGCTCTGATGGGCAGAAGTGGTCAAGTGTGGCCAGGGAGCTGGCCACAGGCACACAGAGCAGTCCGAGGCTGCTGAGGTAGCATCTCCCACAAAGTGGGCACAGACCATCGGGGATCCATGAGACAATTTGAAGAGTTATTCAGGCACAAATTAAATAGCACTGGGAGAGAATGACTGCCTTTTTGGTTGATTACATCAAGGAGAGAGTCTCAATTGAAGGTTAGCCTCTCCTTAACCAGCTTGATTTCCTTTCCAAGGAAGAGGCTCAGACTTCAGCCGGCAACAGTAACTAGCTGGAAGTGGATAAACGATGTTTTATTTTCCATTTATTTGTTTTTAACCATGGCCTTCTATTTACAGAACAGGATACTGCATTCCTGTTTATGAGAAGGATCTTATGTTCTCTTTCCAAATATATGTATTAAAGGTCAAAAAATGAACCTGTTACTCTTGCTAAGTATAAAGTGAGTAATAGTAAATGCAAGATGTACATGAGGAAAACAGAGAGAAGTGGTGTATGACTGAGGCAAGAGTCACCTGGCAAAGGTGTTGCAAGGGCTTCCATGGCTCCAGAGCCCATGCTGGGCCCAGAGGCAGGAATGTCTCCAGGCCCCACCACAGCCTCCGGGGCAGTCCTCACCCTGGGGAGGGCAAAGGAGGCCCCATCCTAAGAAGGAGGGAGATTGCTGGGCAGGTGACCCAGAGCCTCCTGCCTGAGCCGGGAGTGCAGAGACCAGGACAGCAGCCTGGCCAGCAGTCAGTGAGGTCAGGGCTACCACCAGAGGGTGGATCTGAAACAGACCCTAGGCCTCTGGTTTCTGGCAAGGTTGATTACATCCAGAAGGGGGTCTTAATTAGAGGCTGTGGTCCAGTGGTTGATCATAACTTGGATTATCCAGCGGGGGCAGGAAGGAGCTGAGGGACAGGAAGAGGCAGCCCGTGTCAGCCTGGTGTTCAAGGAATCAGGTGTGAACCTCAACAGTTCACAGCAGCCTTAGAGAGGGGCTGGGTGTGAATTAGGGTACACTGATAGCAAGCAACAGAGACTAACTCTGTCAGACTCAGACAGAAAAGGGGGTTATCGAGGTTATCAGATGGGACCCAGAACCAAAGGGAAAGCTGGACACAGGGCTCAGGAAAGGACCAGAGCCAAAGCTGCACAAGGGGTCTGGAAGCAGGACCTGAGGCCGGTTTTGTCCAGGTCCCCTCTGGGATGCATCTCAGCCACAGCCGCTTTTTTCCTCCTTGCATCACTCGGCTCATGAGTCACAGCCCCAGGAGGGAGACAGCTGGCTTGGCGTGGGTCCCGTGTCCTCCTCTCGGCCAGCCCAAAGCATGGCGGCTTGACAGGACTGCTTCCGAGATTGAACGTGAGGGAGGGGTGGTTCCCACAAGGAAAATCAAAGGGCTGTCACCAGAAGGAGGAGGAGTGGATTCTGGGCAGCTCAAACCAGCAAATGTCTACCAGAAGGATCCCAGGGAGTACGAGGCACTGTGGTCTCCTAGGTTTCACTCTCTGGGACCATCCCTGAGGCCTCCTTTCTCCTACCCTGAATGGACAAACGTCACCATCCCAGTCTGGGAGCAGTGGTCTGCTGTACCTGAGTAAGGTGGTGAGCTGCTGCAGTGAGGGTCCTCCGATGGGCTGGGGGCCCTAGGGGAAGGGTACTGGGCAAGTCTGATCCTTGGCCCCAGGGCTGAAAAGGATCTGCTGGGCTGAGGAAGTCTAATGAGAACCGACTCACTCAGGGGCTGCAAACCCGCTCGTCAGCAGGCTTGGCGGAGAGCACATGCATGGAGGAACTGTGACAGGGGACAGACATGCTTAGCTAGCAGGACAGCCGCTGCCCACTCCAGGGAGTGGAGTTACCACTCCAGCAGTTACCACACAGGCACGGGGCCCCAGGGTTGATGGTTACACCTGGGCTGGTTTGTTTAAATGAAGGCCCAAATCAGGAGTTCTATGTGAAACTCCTCCTTTTTTAGTATTATCAATTCACAGGAAAACAATTAAATGTTGTGTTGACCAAACAATATGTACCACCAGTTTGTGACCATGGGAACTAACTTCTACTCATCCACTACAACTAAGATGAGACATCACTTCCTCCAGGAAGCCTTCCATGACTTGCCCCTCCCTCTGCCTTGCCACCAATTCTTTGGACTCCCACAGACCCTGTATTTCCTTTTGTCACAGCATTGACCCTCTGTGTTACTTGGAGGCACACAAGTTCGTTTGTTTTTGTCTGCTGCTTTTTGACTGTAAGCTCCTTGAGGAGACCCACTGTCTCTTGTTACATCTATGCCCAGCATCATGCCTGACACACATGAAGGGCTGTGGCATTGATGGAAGGGGCCTATAGGGACTGCAGGTCTCAAGGTTATACTGTGGCAACCAGTTAATCCTCAAATCCTGTTGTGACTTAATACAACAAAGATTTGTTTCTCCTTAACATGATGTCTTCTGTGGAGCCAGCAGCTCTCCAGGCAGCATCCTTCCAATCGGTGACTCCGGGATCTAGGCCGGCTCCGCCACTATGCAGCAGCGGAAGAGAGTGAGTGGAGAACTCACAGTCACTCTTTTTTTTTTTTGAGACAGAGTCTCACTCTGTCGCCAGGCTGGAGTGCAGTGGTGCAATCTCGGCTCACTGCAACCTCCAGCTTCTGGGTTCAAGCGATTCTCCTGCCTCAGCCTCCCAAGTAGTTGGGATTACAGGCCCGCATCACCATGCCCAGCTAATTTTTGTATTTTTAGTAGAGGCGGGGTTTCACCGTGTTAGCCAGGATGGTCTTGATCTCCTGACCTTGTGATCTGCCCGCCTCAGCCTCCCAAAGTGCTAGGATTACAGGCTTGAGCCACCGCACCCAGCCAACAGTCACTCTTAATACCTCAGCCCAGAAGTGACACTGATTGATTCTTCTCACAGGCCGTTGGCCAAAACTAGTCACATGACCTATCTCACCATCAGGGGCGGGAAAGAATTCACTGAGTTCACGTTCTTGCAGCACAAGCCCTGACCTGCCGCTGGCAGTGCTGGGGAGCCAGGGGTCCAAAAGGAGGACTTGGGCTATGCGTGGGGCAGAGGCAGCCAGGAACCAGAGGTGCTCGAGACACAGAAACTTGCCAGCATCACTGAGAACCAGAGGTGCCTCATGGCTGGTACATGAAAGCACCTCTTAATTTGCATGTTTAACTCAACACATCCTAAAAAGTGGGAAAAGAGTGGGGAGAGAATTTCATTAACCTGAGCTTTCCACCTTTCCTTATTTTTCCAATCAGTAAACACTAGCAAATGAAAATCAAGTTGATGGAAAAATAGAGGTCAAATGCCAATGGGCAAACTGTTCAGAAAGAAATTGCCACCTGGTCCCTTCAACATCTTACGTGGTGTCCATGGTGACCCAAGAGCGACTGCAGCTGTTGGAAGGGCTCAGACGCCAGTGCACTCGGGGATACCGACCCTCACTGCTCTGACAGCCTTGGCCAGACCATGGCCGATAGCAAGTCAGTGGGCCCCACTCCAGGGGGCTCCAAGACACTTGCCATGCTTTCTTCAGGCTATATCACAACAGCAGATGTTTCTTTGGGATGGAATCACAGGATCTTAGATGGCTCTAGAAAGAGCAGAAGCTTAGGAGCCAGAAAGATCTGGGTTCAAATTCCAGTTCTTTCCTAGTAAGTCAGCTTCCTACCTAGCAAGACCCTTCACCGCTCTGAGTTTCAGCTTTATCGCCTGTCTAATGGGTACAAGGATAACACCTACCTCCCTGAACAACTGCGCATAGTCTCTGACATCACGTGTCTAATGCGTAATGTCCTAACGCACAGTATGACCTCAACTGATGTCACTGTTTCTCCTTTTCCCCCACTGGGGTCAGAGGGACTGAGTCCAACCTCCCCTGACTGCAGCCAGCCAGTTCCTATTTGCACACCTCTGATGACAAGAAGCTCACTACTCTTCCTACTGCCCCCCTCGCCCTACAAGCCCTGAGCATCTTGCTCCATTTTTTAATTACTCCCACGATGTTTGTGAAGAGAGGGTCTGATGTCCCTAGGGACTAGGGATTGAGGGGAAGGTGCCTGGCTCACTTCCCCACCTGGCTGACTAATCACAGTCTTTGCCCTCAGGAGTTGTGCGGGGGAACTGAGTATAGTGAGGATGAAGGAGGTGAGGGGATCAGGGTGGAGGAATGTGTATCCATTTCTGGTTCACAAAAGGAAACAGAGAAACCCATCACACATGGGAGACAGGATCAGGACTGGGGACATGTGTCCCATAGAAAAGAAATCTCAGGAAGACTGCCACAGGACAATGATGGAGGTTCAACCTAGGGTTAAGTGTGGGGAGCCACAGAGGGGAAAACAGGAGCCTCAAATAAGAGCAAACTTTCCTTCATTCATTCTGCAAGCACTCCCTGTTTCTCCACCCTGCCTGGCCCCAGGCTGAGCATAAGCGCAAGAAATGAATCCGTGGCCTTGACCTTGGGAGAGTGGGCAGGCATGTAGATGATAACATGGAAACCATTTGAGTATTGCTGAGATAAAGGAAAGTTCAATGGGGGCTGTGGGAGCTCAGAGTGGGGGTAGCTGGCCCACTAGGGAGGGGAAGGATGAGGAGGCAAACAGAAAGTCGGGAGAAAAGGGATACCAGCTAGAGGGGCACCATGGGCAAAGGCATAGAGGTGAAAATCAGCCTGTGTGTGGAAAACCCACCCCTTTCTCTAGTGCTTGAGCAGGGAGTGGTGACAGGTGGGCTGATCCAGCAGAAAAGGGCCTTGCAGACAGCCACAGAGCAGAGACCCTGTCCCAGGCTAGGAGGAAGCCATGGAAGGGCGAGTTGTTTTTCATTTTTGTTTTTTCAGGAAAAAAAAATTACTGAACTATAACCTATGTTCATAAAGTTCTCCTAAGTTTACAGCTCAGTGAGTTTTCACAAAGTGAACACGCCCACGTAACCTTCCCCAGCTCGAGACACAGAAACTTGCCATCACGGAAGCTCCCTTTGCTCCCCTTTCCAGTCCCCACCTCCCTGCAAAAGGAGCTGCTGTCCCAACCTTTTTTTTTTTTTTTTTTTTTTTTTTTTTGAGACAGAGTCTTGCTCTGTCACCTGGGCTGGAGTGTAGTGATGCGATCTCGGTTCACTGCAACCTCTGTCTCCCGGGTTCAAGCGATTCTCCTGCCTCAGCCTCCCAAGTAGCTGGGACTACAGGCATGCGCCACTATGCCCAGCTAATTTTGTATTTTTAGTAGAGATGGGGTTTCACCATGTTGGTTGGCCAGGATGGTCTCAATCTCTTGATCTCATGATCGGCCCACCTCAGCCTCCCAAAGTGCTGGGATTACAGGCGTGAGCCACCGCGCCCGGCCCCGACTTCTAATTTCATAGATTCATTGGCTGTTTTTGAACTTCATATAAATGAAATCACGCCGTGTTGGACCCCTGCTCAGCGACGTTGGAGAGTCTCTTGAGTTGTTGCATGTGGTTGTCATTCATTCTCATTGCTGGAGTAAATCTCATCGTGGGACTAGACCAAAATGCAGTTCTAGTGTTGATAGCCACTTGGGTTGTTTTCAGCTTTAGACTCTTGGGAGAAGCGCTGCCATGAAGATTCTTGCACGTGTCTTTGGAAAAACACATGTACACATTTCTAGGGGGTTTATGCCAAGGAGTGGAGTTGCTGCATCACACGAGATGCGGGTTCAGCTCTAGCAGATACTGTCAAATGTTTCTTCCAAAATGATAGTAGCAATTTACATTCCCTACTGTAGCTACTTGGTGGAAGTTTCAGGAGCTCCAAACCCTCACCAACATTTGGTATTTTCCGTCTTTTCCATTTCAGCGATTCTGGTGGATGTGGAGTGGTGCCGTTGGAATTTTTATTTCCCCAAAGACGAGTAGGTTAAACACCTTTTCATATGCTTCCTAGCCATTTGGACATCCTCTTTCCCAAAGTGTCTATTCAAGGCTCTGGACAGGGAGGGTCAAGGGCCGCCTTTCATTTTAGAAAGTTATCTCTGGCAGCCAAGTGGAGTGTCTGGGATTGGAAGTGGGTGTCCTGGAACCTCTGGCTGATACCAGGGGCATCTCTTAGGTACCAGGTTTCATCGGCTTCCTCTGCCTTCTTCACTCCTCACAGTCACCCTTTGACCTCACAGGTCAAAAGTGTTATCAGTATTTCACAGATGAAATGGCCAGGCTCAGAGAGGTGAAGGGCCTGCCCAAGGTCTCACAGAGGGTGCGGAGAGGACAGCTGGGATGTTCTCAGCCTGAAGCAGGTAGCCCAGGGAGGAATAGAACAGAAGGGAACAAAAGGAAGGTGAAGAAGCAGCTACAAGGACATCTATCTCACTCCTTATTTTGCAGAAAAGGAAATTATCCACCTGTCTCCCCAGTTCTCTCCCCTTCCTTCCCCTCTCTCTGCATCACACCAAAAGTCCCTACAGAGGTCAGCAGCCATCTGGAGGTGAGTGTCCCCAGCCTGAGACTGTGTTGGAGGCCCAGTGATGTGCAGGGAGCCAATTTGGTCAGCTCCTGTCTCTGCCACCACCCACCGTGTGGCCCTGGACTGGTCACGTCACCTCCCTGAGCCTTAGGCTCTTTACCTGTTTCAATAATCCCTTCCTCTGGGCCTTGTGGGGAGAAATCACTGAGGGAAACTGATGCAGTGCCCAGCAGGGCGCCTGGCGTCATGAGCCCTTAGTTTACTTGGCACACACTCATTCCTTCCCCCGACACTTCTGTGACTAGCGGGGCTCCGTGTTCTGCCCAGGCCCCCTCTCCCTGGGTAGCAGGGTCAGCCTCTTCACGTCTCATGCAGCCACAACAGGCCACTGGTGGGTTCCTCACTGCCTGAAAGCAGGTGTGGTGGGCCAGGCATGGCATTCCCTCCCGCATCACCTTGTCTCCCTGCAGCTGCCCCCACTCAGGCTGACAGCCACACAATGAGTCCTAGAAGGGCCTTTCTCGTCTCAAGGACTCTCAGCTCAGAGCCCAGACGCCTTTATTTTAGGAGCTGTGGTTAGTAAAGTGCTTCATCAACGCCACCTCCAAGCAGCCCCCCGCCCCCTACCACACACAGCCCGTGTGACTGTCTCACCCGCCCTGTCCTTCCACTCCTTAATCCGTGCTGCATTTCATGAGCATCTCCAGGCACTGTGCTAGGCACCAAGAGGCCCACCAGCTCCCTCCCTTCATGGAGTTTCCTCTGCATTGAGAGAAACAGACAATAAACAAATATATGGACATGGTAAACAGGATGCCTTTGGATGGTGCTCAGGGCCGTGGAGATGATGGAGAAAGCTATAACAGAGAGGGACAGGCAGTCGGCCGCTCGGTCCCAGAGCAGAGTCAGGAACTCCCAGGCCTGCTGCTGGGGATGGTGCGTCCTTCTCTGGTTTGGGCTCTTCCTGGAGGGAGCAGTGACACTGCAGACCTCCTGGGGGTTGTCCTGGGATTTGGCAAAAGATCCTGGCTGCTCCTGACCCCTGGCACTTCCTCCATCCACCAGCTTCTCCCCTCCCGCCCCATAGGATTTCTTCCTCCCAATCCTACTGGATCCTGAGCAAACTGAGTCCTTTCCTGATGGTTTCCCCATCCCCAGGGGCAAGGGCAACTGAACCCCACACAGGGCCAGCAGAGACCCTCAGCTCTACGCAAGCAGGACACTCTTTCTCCCTTCTCAGGCCTCCACCTTCTCTCCCTCCTTCACCCCCTTCCTGACTCAGTCTCTCTGTCTCTGTGCCCCATCTCGCTTTTCCCCTCTCCAACTTCCTGTTACTCTCCTTCTCCTAAATTTCTTTTCCTTCTTTTCCTTTTTCTTTTTTTTCTTGAAATGGAGTTTCGCTGTCGTCACCCAGGCTGGAGTGCAATGGCGCGATCTCGGCTCATTGCAACCTCTGCCTCCTGGGTTCAAGTGATTCTCCCGCCTTAGCCTCCTGAGTAGCTGGGATTACAGGCACCTGTCACCATGCCCGGCTAATTTTTGTATTTTTAGTAGAGACGGGATTTCACCATGCTGGCCATGCTAGTCATGAATTCCTGACCTCCAGTGATCTGCCCGCCTTGGCCTCCCAAAGTGCTGGGATTACAGGCGTGAGCCACCACGCCCGGCCCTAAATTTACTTCTTATTGGGACACTCATTTCCTTCAAATAAATATATGTATTTTTAAATGCACTGAGCCCCTACCGGGTGCAGGCATAAGGTGAGGAGCTTGGGTCTAATCAAAGATGAGTAAGACATGGACTTCCCTGCAAGAGAGATGAGTCATGTACCTAAATAAGTGAAATGGGGAGGCTGAAAGTGGCCAGTGTGATAAAGGAGACACTGATGGGGGCTGCAGAGTAGGAGGGTTCCTGAGGGCTTCAAGGAAGAGGTGATGTTTTTAGTCACCTTGAAATACGATCATGCAATGAAACGTGGGCTGACTCTGGGCCTCTCCTGTGGACAGTTGTTTAAGGACCAGCTCATTTGCCTGGAACGTAGGGAATTTGAATGTCATCTTTCTTTCACTTTATAGTTCTCTGATTCTGACTCACTTCCTTACCGATCTCACCACCTTCTCCTTCATTTTCTCTTTCATCTGTACTTTTTTTCTTCCCCACCTGTCCCTTCACAGACCATAAGACGTACTTTTGAGTTTTGTCCTCAATTTCGTTTTCCTTCCATCCTTTTCTCTCAAGTCTAAGTCCCACTCTCTAGCATCCTTCCTTCCTAACCTCCAAGGTGCCCTGGTAGACCACGTGGACTTTGATGTCTAACAGACCAGGGTCTCAGCCCAGTGACTCAACTCTCTAAGCCTTCATTTCATCATCTGGAAACAGCCTCCTAGGGCTATTGTACAAACCAATGAGACAAAGGATGTGGAAACGCTTCCTACTGTAAATGAGAGTCTTTACCGTTAACGAGGCTCTTTAGACTTAAGTGACAGAAACCCAACTCAAGATGGCCTGAAGGGAAAAGGGAAAGTCTGATGTTGCTAGGTCAGACACACATGGCCCCAGGGCTTCAGACAGTGACCACAACACTCTATCTTTCTACATCTCTCCACTGCCATCCCCCATGTTGGGCAGGCCTTCCTTTGCAGAGTGGGAACACAGCCATCTCCTTCCTATCAGCTGAGCAACTCCAGTGAAAATCGGGCACCCATTCCAGTGGTGTCAGCAAAGCTCTGTGATTGAACGTCAGTGGACTCAGCCCTAACCCATTCCCATAGCCAGGCCTGGGTCCCACGCTATCACACGGACCCGTTAATGATGGGATCCTCCCACCCAACCCATAAGGACCATGAGTGGGAAAGGGGAACATCTTCCCAGAGAGGGGCCATTTCACAGTTACAAAAAGAAGGGGAAATGGCTGTTACGAATCAAGCTCCTTGAGCAACGGAGACAAGAAACACAGGGAAAGGAACAGGCTCACGCCTTCTTAGCCCTCAGGTGTCATCTCCTCAAAAAAAAGTCTTCTCTAATCCCTTAAGGATGTGTTGGGTGCTTCACCTGTGCTCTAGCAGCACCTTATGCTTCCCCTATTATCATATTTTTCGTGTTTATTATACTATTCTATTTGCTTGTCTGTCTCCTTCACAGGACTTTAAGTATCGTCAGGACAAAGTCAGTGCCTGTCTTGCCTGTTGCTGTACACCCAATGTTGACAAATGCCAGACCCTTAGTAAATGATGGATGGAGGGATGGATGGATGGATGGATGGATGAGTGGTGAGATGGATGGAAAACAGACAGCTGGATGGGTGAATGCATGGATGGTAGGATAGATGAGGGTAGGTGAATGAATGAGTGAGTGGTGGAGCGTATGAACGATGGACGATTGGTTGGATAATGAGTGGATGAAGGGATGAATAAATAGATAGATGGATGGATGAATGGTTCAGAGATAACTGGTGAGATCAGTTTGGAATGGGCTTAGCCTGAACTGCCTGTAAACACAAACAGAGCTGCCCCTCAAGTTGTTGATAGATGAACCCCAAGTTCGGGAGAGAGGTCTGGGCTGGAAACAGAGGTTTAGGAGCTATTAATACAGAGACTATAATGGAGTGGATCAAGGTTACAGGGGAGGCAGCAAAGTGGGGGGAGCCAAAATCAGACAGCACCTAAGTGACACTTGAACCCAGGGCTGTGTGATGATGTCAGAGCTTGCTTTCCTTCCTTCATTTTATGGCAGCTTGGCCACTACTTGAGGTGACAGCACAGAGTTAATGTATCTCCCTCTCCCCTCCCTCCCCCTCCTCAAACCACTCAGCCAGAAGGGAGCAGCTGCCTGGGAGGACAGAGAGACAGATTATGTAAACTGTGATTGCCACCCACAGGAGGAGGAGGAGACTGAATAGGTATTGAAATGCGCTTTCAATAATGCATGTCCTCCTCCGCACAGGCCTGGGGCTTGCTGGGGAGGAGAGGATCCTTAAAGGGACCGATCCTCCTGTCCCCAACACCCACAGGCCCCCTGCCAGCCATACAGGTCCCCTGTGCACAATTGGAGGGCTCTATGGACATCCACTCCAGGGGTCCCCAACCTTTCACCCTCAAGGACGCCTTTTTTTCTTTCCCTCTTGACTTCAGTGGATTTGACTTTTTAAAGATTCTGTTTCCCAAACATGCTGCATTTAAGTCATGATTAATTCATTTTCCCCATTTTTTATTAATCAAAGACACTTAACTGCCAGTCAGAGCTTTGATCAGCAAGAGGTAAGCCACGAGGTGAGGTGATGTCATTCCAACCCAAAGCTAAGAAATATAGCAAGCAATATTGTTAGGCAGGCCGGCCTTGCTGCCAGAAAGTGCCCTCCCTTCTTCTAACCCCAGAGATAGAAGAGCCCCAGGCTGGGGACCAGGGACCCTGCCCAAGTCTCTCTCATTTCCCAAAGGAGGAAACCAAGGCCCAGAAAGGCAAATGGACTTGCCCAAGGCCACAGGATCAGTGAGACCTAAAGGCCAAGGTCTGGCCTCTGCAGTTTCAAATGACCTAGAACTTGGCAGTGAAACAGGCCAAGCAGGGGACCTGAAAGTCAAGAGGAGGGCAGGAGAAAGAGAAGCCATGAGAGCCAGCACCTTCATTGTGCTCCTACTACGCACCAGACCCACTAGAAAGTGTCTACCACCTTGTTCTCACACAACAACTCGGAAGGCTGAGATTGACATTCCCGTTGCACAGAGGAAGAAATTGAGCATCAAAGAGGATCCGTGGTTTTACATCATCCACTCAGCTGGGAAGTGAAGGATCAGGATTCCAGCAGGTGTGTCCAACCGACCGTGAAACTTTTTCCACCTCACTGGCCTGGCTGTGATGGAGGCGAGGAGATCATTCAGACCAGATTGGCATTTCTGTTTGCCACTCACCAGTGTGTGAATTTAGCTAATGATCTCACCCCTCTGAGCCCCCATTCCCTCCTCTGAGGAACTGGGATAGCATCTGATGGCTTGAGTGATGGTGGAGGATAAGAAAACAGGGTTAAAGAAAATGGGGCACAGAAACTAGGGTACAGAGAAGCTTTAACTTGGCGAACTGGACCGGGTACAGTGGCTCGCACCTGTAATCCCAGCACTTTGGGAGGCCAAGACAGGCAGATCATGAGGTCAGGAGATCAAGACCATCCTGGCCAACATGGTAAACCCTGTCTCTACTAAAAATACAAAAATTAGCTGGGGATGGTGGCATGCACCTGTAGTCCCAGCTACTTGGGAGGCTGAGGCAGAATTGCTTGAACCCAGGAGGCAGAGGTTCAGTGAGCCAAGATCGCACCACTGCACTCCAGCCTGGCGACAGAGCGAGACTCTGTCTCAAAAACAAACAAAAAGAAAAAAAAAAAGGAAAGAAAATGGGGCACAATACTTAGAAATGGCATCCTCTCGCTCTATTCCCTCCTTTTCTAGTGAAAAACTTCCAAGCTGGCAGAAGCCAGAGTGTGAGATCTGATTGCTTCTGTCTCTGGGGATCTCCTGGGTTGTAGTTCAGGAAAACTTTACCCTGTTCTTCCACTGCTTTCAGTTAAAGGGACTGTTTTCCTCTGGTCCAGTAATTCTAAGACAAGGGTTGAGAGTGGGACGAGAGTCTCTGCCTGTAGCTTGAATGCTCTCCTGGTCACCACCATCTGCTTCCACATCTGGTTTTATTGCTGGGCGGGAGATAGCTTGACCATTCCCATCACACTCCTGGAAACTCCGTTGATTTCCCCAAGGCAGCCAAAGAAGCTGGAGTGGAAATCTCAGCTCCCAGCAGCTAGAGAGGGTGACCCTGCTGGACTTGCCACAGTTGCTCCTCCTGGACCAGGCGGAGGTGGAGTAATTGACTCTCTGGTTTCCCCTGGAAGTGGTTTTAAATGAATAAGTGCAAAAAAAAAAAAAAAAAAAAAAGCCTGGTAACTGGGGTGGGGCACTAAGCAATTTCTTGGGCAGGAATTCAGCAGATCGGATGCTTGTGCCAGTGGTGTGGGCTGGGCTGAGACTCAGGGATGCACAGGGCTTGGTGCAGACAGGGTGGGAGCACTGACTAGCGGCACCACGAGGTTAGAGGGCTGCGATAAAGGTGTGTGAAGGGCACTGCAAGAACCCAGGGTGGGCGCCACTGACTGAGTGGGTAGGATAGTATGGGTGAGGTGAGCTTCTCAGAAGACGGACCTTTGAGCTGAGCCTGGTAAGAAATGGGGAATTTCAGATAGTGTAGACAGATGCAAAGATGGGACCACATGAGAGCATTCTAAGGAGGAGTCCAGGTTGTTTGAATACAAGGGGATGGACAAAAGGTAGGGCAGGAGCGCAAGGCTGGGCCAGATGTTCGAAGGCCTTGAATGCTATTCCCAGTGCGAAAGGACTCCACGCTTTGGTCATGGCCACAGCATGAGCATACCTGGGGTGGGGCTAGTGTTTAAGAAAGATCTCTATGAGAATCAAACTGGAAGCAGATGTTCCCAAGCAAAAGCGATAGGCCAGCAGGAATCAGACGGACCCTCAACTGGGCTGGAGAGATGTTTGTGGCGGGTGAATGGGTTGGATTTGGTGGCTGATTGGATGTGGGAAGGAGACGAAGAAAGGAATCTCCCAGGATGGCACTTGCTTTGGGGCCCCTACTGGCCCCTCTACCCTGCTCAGGGTGGGGAGAGAGGACCCACCAATGCCTAGGCCAACCCAGGTTCCCAGGGAAGCTTGGACAGGGAGGGCTTCCCAACACCCACTCCCTCAAAACTGAAGAGAAAACTTACTACTTGTATTCTTGAGCTGGTCAACACACTCAGTTGCAAGTGAGCAAAATCCAACTTAAAGTGACTTCAGCAAAAGGGGGAATGTGTTTGGTGTGTGTAATGAGAAGCTCTAGGGATGCTGCTTTCCCCTACAGTTGGATCACGCAGCTCGAATGAGGAGAGTAAACCTCATTCTCTCTCCCTGTCTTGGCTCAGCTTTCCTCTGTGTCCAGGCCAGCTCTCGTCACAGGGTGGTTTCTGCTGCTCCAGACTTACATCCCCACAGCTCAGCAGCTGCAGCAACAGGAGACTCCAACAGCCCCATCAAAAGTTCCAGAACTGAGTCTCATTGGCCCCTTTTGGGTCACATGCCCTTCCCTGCACCAATCACTCTAGCCAGAGGGTGGACTACACTGATTGGCCTAAACCGTGGTCATGTGCCCTCTATGGGAGAACAGGCTGGGGCCTCACCCTCAACTAAACCTCACTGAAGGTGACTGGGGGAGGAGCAGCTTCCCCAGAGGAAATGGGGATACCCTTTCTAAAATAAGGGAAATTGTTGCTTGATTGCTTTTCTACAGCAGCTGAGGGCAATGCAGAGTGGCCCCTCTTCTTTCCAGCATCTGACACCCATATTATGGTTTCATACCCAGGCCTCTTCAACATACCTTTAAAGTCCAAGAGATGATGGCCGGGTGCAGTCCCTCACGCCTGTAATCCCAGCACTGTGGGAGGCCGGGGTGGTTGGATCACCTGAGGTCAGGAGTTCGAGACCAGCCTAGCCAATATGGCAAAACCCTGTCTCTACTAAAAATACAAAATTAGCTGGGTGTGGTGGTCAGTGCCGAGCACCTGTAATCCAGCTACTCCGGAGGCTGAGGCAGGAGAATCGCTTGAACACAGGAGGCAGAGGTTGCAGTGAGCTGAGATCACGCCACTGCACTCCAGCCTGAGTGACAGTGAGACTCCGTCTCAATAAATAAATAAATAAATAAAGTCCAAGAGATGAACCAGCAGGGAGATGCACTTGACCTTGTGCACATTTACAAAAAAACCAACTGCAACTATTCATTCATAGACCCATCTGCCTCCTGCGTGCCCTGGCCAGCCCTGCCTATCGAGGGTGATAGAAAGACCCAGACTCTGCCCCCAAGGAGTTTACAGTCAGTGGAGTCTATTTTAGGTATAACTCCTGGATAATTTAGTAGAGTCAGACTTACTCTCCAAAAAATACACTTCACTGCATATGTTTTTCTGGTATTCGGATGCTTTTATTTGCTTTTAGATTAACTGCCTCACATGAAAATCATGAATTGAAAAGACCTTTAAAAATTCACCATTTACTTCTGAGTCAATTTTGTCTTCACTGATAAAAAATACCTAATATCTATTGCACATCCTCACTGAGGCAGCCTCTGGGAGTTTCACGATTTATTCTCTGGAAATCCGGATCTGGGTCCTGAGAAAGTGTGGTGGTCCCTTCATGGACTAAGAGGGTGAGGGTCTGGAAACTGTTCTATTGGAACAGCGAGCTACAGAATGATGGTCTGGACGAAAGAAGACTCGGGGGCATGTGCTCTCTATTACCCAGCATCTGTATGTGGAAGCAACGCACGTTAGAGGGTAGAGAGTAGAAGTGATTGGGAATAGATTTTTTAGCTCAATATGAAAGAGAAATATTTAGAGACCAGAGCTATTGCAAAACAAATAGACTGCCGTATAAGCTAGTGAGCTCCTCATTCCTGGAAGCGTGTAAACAGGGACTCTTAGGTGGAAAGTTAGACCAAATGACCTCAGCCTCTTCCAACTAGAAGATTCCTCAACTATGGGCTGAACAGTGTTTGAGTTTTGGCTCAAACACTATTTTTCTCTGTGGCCTTGGGTGAGGCGCTGTCCCTCTCTGAGCCTCAGTGACCTAGATAGCCCCCACAGCGTCTTCCTCTTCTAAATACTTTGCCTTGCTCATGTCAGATATTCACACCTGCCTCTGCACACTCAGGCAATTTCTGCCCCGTGCATATTTCGAGGCTCCAGAGCCTGAGCAAACCAGCCCACCAAACCCACAGGTGTGAGGCAGCTTCTGTCTGTGCCTTCTGTTCCTAGAGAGGCTGTGATTCATGGCCATGGGGGATGCCTCCCCCATCTGACAGGTGGAGAAGTGAGGTCTGGGGGAGGAAACTAACCACTGGAGCCAGACGCACTCCCCGCAAACACACCTGACTGGGCCTCTCCCACCTCACCATCTCCCTGTCCCCATTATTGGCCCTCAATCCACAAAGGACCCTGGGAATAGGCCTCTCCCCACCACGTCAGGTGAAGGGCAGCCACTGAAGCGGATGCAGACCCCAACATCTTGGACCTGAGAAGTGCATTTCCCACAGATCTCTCCATAGGCAGCCTTAAGGCTTTTTGCGTTTGATTTTTACAACAGCCCTGCAAGGGAGGCATTACCGTCCCCAACTTCTGGGGAGGAAACTGCGGCTCAGCGAGGCCAGCAATTGTCTGAAACCAGCTGGTAAATAAGCTGCAGAGAGGGCACTGGACCAGGCCCACCTGCTCAGCCATGCTCCCTCCCTGGGGTCGCGCAGAAGCTCACCTCGGGAAGAAGGCCCCGCTCCCCCAGGAAGGGCCCCCTTGCCAGGACAGTCATCCAGAGCCACACCTGACCCCAGTTCCTGCTGTCACTCTTTGCTAAAAGATGGAGGGGACTAGGTGGGCCTCGAGCTCCACCTTCCCTCGGACTTCTGCTGGGTCTTTTGGAGAAGCCACTTGCCCTCTCTGAGCCTCTGCTTCCTACCTAAGGATTCCATCAATCTAAGTCTCTGCACCCCTATATCTCCATCTGAGTGGGGAATAAAACTTCCGGCCACACAGAGTCACAAAGCATCCTCTACCCCTTGTCTGCCCTGATATGACCCTGTAATGTGGAGAGCAGAAGACCCACTGCACAAATGAAGAAACTGAGAGACTTTAACTTGTGCCCAAGATCACACAGTTAGGAAGACACAAAGCCAGAGATGCGGTCCTGACCCTTACTACTCAGGCAGTGCCTGCCCAGGACTCTCACGCAGACCTAGCTGGGGCCACAGAATTCACAAGGATGCGGGGTAAGCTGATGACACACTTGTCAGTGGGCCCCACCAGCCACCAGGTCCTCCCTCCCTCCCAGGGCCTCACTGAAGCCAATTTCTGCACCATCAGAGCCGCTGAACCTTCTGCTGTTGGTGGAAGCCAGTCACAGGTCACTGCCTAGCGGTCTCTCTCATCCACCAGCGTGGCTGCGGCCCTCCGTGCTCTCTGGGGTTCTGAAAACAGAACTGTGTGGTGCCAGGTGATCCAGAAGAGAAGCAGTGAGAGCTGGAAGGGCACATGAAGGGCAGTGTGGGCAGAGGGACAGGCAGGGAGGGCACTGCCGCCACAGAGCTGCCCTGGTTCCCTGCCCCCGGGGGAGCACAGCCCAGCAAGAGGGAAATGATGGCATCTTTTGTGGCTGAATTTTCACAACTCATGAGAGAGGAAGAGATGATTAGCCCCATTTTTCAGCTGAAATCATTGATGCTCAGACATGAAGCAACTTGCCCAGGGTTACACAGCCAGGGAGCAGCAGAGCCCAGGTATGAACCATCATGCCTGTCTCCTTCCCCGCCCCCGGAGGTGCGTGATGCCCCCACAGAGGAGAGTGAAGCGAGGCAGCCCTCCTTTAGGAGGGGGAGTTTTAGGGGTGAAGCACCCCACCCCCAGCTGTCCAGCCACCCTTAGCCTCTTCCTCTTTGCCACAGGCCATGCGGCACTAACAAGGACTCTGGTGGTCTCTTCGAGGGACCCTCATACATAGCTCTGCAGGCAGGCAAGGGATGAGCACAATCCAGTCTCTGGAGTCCTCACTCCCCAGAGCTTTCCTGGAAACAGCAGGAAGCTATTTTTAAAGCAGCATCCGCAGGCAGTAACCTGGGAGATGAGTCTCCCTCCAGATCCTCACCCCTGTGGGCTGGGGGCAGCGTTCACCCTGCTCACAGCTCAGCCAAGAAGCCCAGATCTGGGAAGGAGAGCAGGGAACATGTCACCTGCCAAGGGAAGCAGGTGGGTCTGCTCCAAACAAGCCTCGATTTTACCAACTGGAAGGGGCCTTAGAGCCCAAGGGAAACGTGCGTGTGTTCGTGCTCACACAGTTGTGTCAGTGCGATTGTGAGCATGGCTGGGGGTGCGCGTGTGTGCTCATGGCAGCTGAGTGTCTCCATATCCTATGCAGGCGTGACATTTAGGCATAAGTGCGTCTCTGTGTCTGTGAAAGCCAGTGTGCTGATGTCAGCTTGCCTCTGTGTGTGTGTGTGTGTCTCGGTACATCTGAATCTATTTGTTCCTGTGTGCATGTGTGTGGGTGTAAGTATGCATCAGTGTTTACGTGTGTCTGTCAGTCTCCCAGAAACCCTGGAAATACATGGGCAGAATGTTAGAAGTAGGAAGAGCATTCGCTCTCTCCAGCTCCCTCCCTTCTCTCCCCACTGCTCAAGTCACAGAAGGGGAAATCGTAGCTCAGAGAGGGGAAGGGACTTGCTCAAGGCCAGTCAGCCGCAGAGAGAACTGGAACCCAGATTTGCTTCCTGGCTCCCAGGGCCCGTCTACTCAGTCACCCCATTCAGGCTCCATTCCCAAGGCCAAAAGCTGCTCCCTCCTGCCCTGACGCAGGTGAGAACCAACAGGGCCCATCTTCTCCCTGGGCTTTGACTTGGCTGCTGAGAGGGGAAAAGTGTCTGATGCAAGTGTCTCTGTTATGGGCTCTGAGCAGAACATTGACTATGATTCAACAAACCATAGTCTGCTATTGGGGCAGAGCATGTACAAAGCCTACCAGCTGCCCAGCCCTGGTCCCGCAGATATCCCAAGAGAGGCCAGGCATGGCCCCTGCCCTCAAGATACCCACAGCTCAGCAGGAGGTCAGATAGGTCAACCAAGAACTATGACATGGGATTAAACATGCCTAACGGAGGCATGCAGAGAATTCCAAAGCAGCACAGAGGCAGAGGCAACTGATTCTGCCGAGAGGATCAAACAAAGCTAGTGAGGAGATGGGCGACATTTGAGTTGGGGTTTAAGAGAGAAATAGGTATGTCAGACATTGAAAGAGAAAGGGCCTTCTAAGCTGGGGGCACGAGTTATGCCAAGGCAACTTATCCACTTCTGACACTGTTCTAAAGAGGTCCAGCTCTTCCCTGGTCTACCCTAGGACTCTGCTGGCTCTGCCCTCCATGTCTCTTGTCTGTGCTCCTATTATTTCCACCATCTGGGATTTATTCATTCCTTTAGCAAATATGTCCTAGCCACCAAAAAGGTTCCTGGCCCTGAAAGTGGTACAGGAGATAAAGCTGTAATTTTGAGCATAGTCTCCATGTCTGACAGCAGGAGATGGGGGTAGTTAATCATCAACCAGTCACAGCTCCTCATTTCCTATGTGCCTGGCCCTGTGCTCAGTGCCATGAGGAATGGAGAAGACCATGAAAGCTCATTGAGCACCATGCTTGCAACAACACAGAGAGTTAAGTCTTGAAGGCCCCATTTCTGGAAAAGAAAGTTGAAGCTCAGAGAGATGACCTGACTTACCTGAGGTTGCACACAGTGCTGAGAGCCAAACCAGCTCCGTGTGATGAGTGTGGGTTCTTTCTGCCAGGCTGGGCTGCCTGCCTTCACAACCAGAAACATGGGCGTTGGAAACTGCTGCTTCTGCTGTTCTTTTGCCTATAATTGTCTCCTTAACGGGCCTGTGACGCTTTCAGTTATGTTCTTTTGTAAATGCCAGACAAGCTTGGGGACCCAAGGCAGTAGGGAGATTGTCTGCCAAAGAAAGTAGAATCAAACCTCCCCTTCCAAGGAATCTTCCAAACCCAGCAGGTTTGAGGTTAAAATTGGAGAGGGCAGGAATCTCAGGGGTCAAGACTGGGCCCCTATGTGCCTTCCAAGAAAGCACCTCTTCCTGAATCTGATGCTCAGACCAAAAGAAGGGAACATGCATGGAGAGGACCCAGGCAGGCCCCACACATGAAGCCCTTAGCACTCTGCTTGCCTCTTTAATGTGAGCTAAGAAAAAAGGATTAGGCTGGGCGTGGTGGCTCATGCCTGTGATCCCAGCACTTCGGGAGGCCGAGGTGGGCAGATCTACCTGAGGTCAGAAGTTCAAGACCAAGCTGGCCAACATGGTAAAACCCCGTCTCTACTACAAATACAAAAATTAGCTAGGCATAGTGGCAGGCACCTATAATCCCAGCTACTCGGGAGGCTGAGGCAGGAGAATCACTTGAACCCAGCAGGCGGATGTTGCAATGAGCTGAGATCGCGCCACCGTGCTCCAGCCTAGATGACAAAAGTGAAACTCCATCTCAAAAAAAAAAGAGAAAAGAAAAGAAAGGAAAAGAAAAAAGGATTAATCTGCATTGCATGGCCTCCACAAAGCTTTGGGATTTTTTGAAATCTCTTTTGTTACGGAGGCTTCATAATCTACCTTGTGATTAGGAATTGCCACCCTGATTTTGCAGATGAGAAGGGCTGGCTGCTTGGGATACAGAGATGAAGAGAGTACAGTCCCTGACCCCAGAGAACTCGTGGTGAAGAAACACAAACGCACAGAAGGCCTCTAGGGTGCTCAAGTCTGTAATACAAAGAAGCATGGGGGGCTGTACAAGGGACACAGGGGACTCGTTTCCAAGTTGGAAAGTCAAGAAAAGCTTTCTGAAGGAGCAGACATCTAAGCTGAGACCAGAGGAAGAAAGTTAGCCAGGCAAATGGAAATGGGGGGGCCTGGTATGCAATAGGTCAAAGGCTCCAGCCCAAAGCCTAGATCCCACTCCAGGACTCTTTGAGAAACACTGTTTGACACATCCACTGGGCAGGTATGGTTTGGAAGAATTTAGCAGTTAGGATCTGGGGTGGGGATGGGAGGCTGGAGAGGGATTCCACAGCCAAAATCAGTCAGTCCCCAGACGGAGGGGACTCTCTCCGCCCCTTCCTGCCATAGCCAGGCCCCTTCTTTGAAAACTTTGCCCAGACCGCAGGCTCGGCTGCTACCTACCTTCTGTTGCCTGCCTCTGGTTTTCCTCCCTCACATCCCCTTTCCTGGTGAGCTGGGGACCCATCTAACCTGGAGGCCCAGGTTCCTGCAGGGCACTTAGTTTCCATGCATGGCTCCAGCCCCCATGGGCTCAGCGTTCCTCCCTGAAACATCCTCTCTGGCTGCTGTTTTAGCGCAAGATTTTGCTTCAGGGTAAATCCTACGTTTCCCAAACCAACGGCATCTTGGCATGTAACTGAGATGCACAGGGAATCCCTGGATTTGAAGTCAGGAAGGCCTGCCTCTGGATGCCAGCTCTGCCACTGATGTAGCTTGGCAAGTTCCTACGTGTCTCTGGACCTTGATGTCCACAAATGTAAAATGGGGTAATGACACCAACTGCACAGAATTACTGTGAAGATTCAAATGAAACCCTGCATGCGAAAACTGCTCAGAAACGGTCCAGAGATGTGTAGATACAGGCAGGTACTACTGCTGTGACCCTGGTCACAGAAATGTCCATTCACTCAGCAAGTGTTTATCCAGGGCCCGGGTGCCAGGCTCTGCACTCAGAGCTGGAATCTAACAATGGACTAAGTAGACGCAGAGTCTGCCCTCAAGGACCTCACAGTCTGGGAAAGAGACAGACATGGACAACTTCAACGTAACGCAATTCATGCTTGGGTGGGAGGAAGCACAGTGGGCGGGGTAGCAGGGGGAGTCACCTTAAACCTAGGCCAGCCTGGGAAATGCAGAAAAGTTTTGTGGAGCTGGGTGTGGTGGCTCAAGCCTGTAATCCCAGCACTTTGGCAGGCCGAAGTGGACAGATCACGAGGTCAGGAGACATCAAGACCATCCTGGCTAACACGGTGAAACCTGGTCTCTACTAAAAATACAAAAAATTAGCCAGGCATCATGGCGGGAGTCTGTAGTCCCAGCTACTCAGGAGGCTGAGGCAGGAGAATCGCTTGAACCTGGGAGACGGAGGTTGCAGTGAGCTGAGATCGCACCACTGCACTCCAGCCTGGGCGACAGAGCGAGATCCTGTCTCAAAAACAAACAAACAAACAAAAAACAAACAAACGAAAGTTTTGTGGAAGCAAAATCCCAGTGGAGCAAGCCAGGACAGGGTCGGGGAAGAGTGCTCCAGAGAGGGACAACAGGAGGGGCAAAGGCCAGGGGGCAGGACCACAGGGTTGATGGGGACATGGCAAAGAGAGGGAGCTGAGGCTGTGAAGGCAAGCAGGATACATCAATTTTAAGATATGTTTGAAGTTCATGGTATTTTGTTAATTTATCTTAAACAGATTGCAAACAATGTGTTGATTTTTTTTGAAAAAGTAAAAACTGCCACACCATCACATACGTTTAGATCATATTACAGTTACCGGAGCCTGGAGCAGCTAAAACAAGAAAAAGGTTGGAAAACACAACATTGAGAAATAGTTCAATCAATGCATAAGACAGGAATAGTCAGCAAAACAGCTCCCTTTTTAAAAAAGTAATTTATAGCATCAAAAATCTGAATCATGCCTCACTGGTAAATTCTACCAAATATTTAAGGAAGAAATAATACCAATTCTACACAAAATATTTCTAGAAAATAGGAGGGAACCTTCCCAAATCATTTTAAGAGGCCAGGTAAATTAGCTTGATACAGAAACCAGACAAAGGTATTACAAGAAAACCACAGGCCAATATCCCTCATGAACACGGATGCAAAAATCCTCACAAAATATTAGCAAATGGAATCCAACCATCTGCACCTTATTTCCAGATGCTCACAGCTGAGCTCTTCCCAGTGCTGAAATCAAAGTTTTTGTTGAAATCAAATTATTTATTTAAGTGAGTTAGTAAGAGAAGTCTTTGTTGTAAGTGGTTTTTATTTATTTATTTATTTATTTACTTTTTTTTTTTTTTTTTTTTTTTTTTTTGAGACAGGATCTCGCTCTGTCGCCCAGGCTGGAGTGCAGTGGTGTGATCTTGGTTCACTGCAGCCTCCACATCCCGGGTTCAAGTGATTCTCCTGCCTCAGCCTCCTGAGTAACTGGGACTACAGGTGTGCACCATCACGCCTAGCTAAGTTTCATATTTTTAGTAGAGATGGGGTTTCCCCATGTTGGCCGGGCTGGTCTCAAACTCCTGACCTCAAGTGATCCATCTGCCTCAGCCTCACAACATGCTGGGATTACAGGCATGAGTCACCGCGCCCAGCCGCAAATGGCTTTTAAAATCTCAACTGACTAGGCCAGGCGCGGTGGCTCACGCCTGTAATTCCAGCACTTTGGGAGGCCAAGGCGGGCAGATCACGAGGTCAGGAGATCGAAACCATCCTGGCTAACACGGTGAAACCCCGTCTCTACTAAAAATACAAAAAATTAGCTGGGCGTGGTGGCGGGCACCTGTGGTCCCAGCTACTTGGGAGGCTGAGGCAGGAGAATGGCATGAACCCGGGAGGCGGAGCTTGCAGTGAGCCGAGATCGTGCCACTGCACTCCAGCCTGGGCGACAGAGCGAGACTCCGTCTCAAAATAAATAAATAAAATAAAATAAAATAAAATCTCAACTGACTTAAGTAAAAAGAATAAGGTGAAGCACTGGTTCGTGCTCCTGGTCACTCAGGTGACTGGAACGAGGCTCTTACTCAAGTCCACAGGGAGCCAGCTGCCTGCACCCCTCAGCTCTACTCTCCTGGGGTTGTCCCATTGTCTCAGGCAGGTTCTCCAGCGGGGTGGCGAGATGTTGCTATTCTCACCAGGTGTTTGTCCAACCAGCTGCAAGTCATCTGGAAAGAGGGGCCCTCTTTCTGGGGAAGCCCAGAATTGAGGTTCAGCCAGGGTGGGTTACACAAGGGTTTTGCATAAGCATTCCGTCTTCAACTACCCCGTCCTCTGTCCAAAAGATAGAGGCCTTGGCACAGAAAACAGGATAAAAACAGTAGTAATCATTCTCAATCCATGCCTCCCTTTACAGTCTATGAAGCTCCAGCAGCCATCGTCCCAGCTGATCCTTGCCCTGCAAGGCAGGCAGAGCAAGTGCCAATGTCACACCCACTTTACAGATAAAGAACATGAGGCCCAGAGTGCAGGCAGTGGCACAAGTGGTGCAGCCGAAGCTGTGTTCAGTTCAGAGCTGCAAGATGCCACATCCCAGGGCAGTTTCAGTTCTCAAGAAAACCTCTCTAGAAGAAACTAGACCCTAACTTGGGTATCCCAAAGGAGTCAGGGGGAAAGGAAGCACGGGGCCAAGGCTTGGTCACCACTGGTCTCATTCACTCCCTTCTCCACACCTGCAAGGTGGTCTCACTGACCTGAGGCTCTGAGAGGAGCTGTGACCTGGTCAAGGTCACAGGGCTAGGAAGGGAAATTCAGACCCCAAGCTGTGCTTCCCCCTGACCTTCACTTAGCTCTGAAGAAAGGCCTCGGGGCAACCCCACGGGGCGTCTCTGCACGGCTCCCCGCAGCAGGCAGCAGGGGCTAATTGGAAACTGGAGCCTTGAAACCTTCCCGCCCTCCCCTCTTCACCTGGAGCCAAGGCCATCTGTTCCCTTTTGTCTTCAGGCTGCAGGGGAAGATGAAACTAAATTTAAATACTAATAATACTTAACATTTGTCTGGAAAGTGTTTTGCACACTAATTGCTGATTAATCCTCCCCAGGCCCCAGAGAGATCTCCCTGTCTTTGTGTCCCCATTCTGCAGACAGACTGGTGGCTTTCAGACAGAAAGGAGCTGGACCAGAAGGCTGGAAGATGGATTCGGGGCGTACTGTGCAAGACCTTTGCCAGAGCCTGAGCAATTTCCATCTCTACTCAGCTGGATGGGCGTGGTGAATAAATTCATTCAGTTCATTGTTGCTCCACAGCTAACAATAAAGCTGGGAGCTGGGTCCAAATGGTGACTTGGCTGTCTACCAGCTGCTTGGCCATGGGCAACCCCCACCCCCTCTGAGCCTTGGTTTCCGTATCTGTAAAATGTACATGATGCTCCCTGTTGGTTGGGTCAGCCTCCCCAGTGTTACCAAGCCACGGGGCCGGACACTGGGATGCTACATTGAACCAAACAGAGAAGGTCCCAGCTTCCATGCAACTTGCAGTCTAGTCAGAGAGGGAGATAATAGTTAAAAATAAGCAAATAAGCAAGGTAATTACAGCTCGTGATGGTAAGGCTGTTAGAAAACAATTTTGTAAATGTATTTTTTAAACTGTGATATACCTCAAAGATTCTTCTGGGTGGTAGAGTCCTATTTTTGTTGCAACATTTATCTAGAAATCAGAGATGTGTTCCCCAAGAAATGGTTGCAAAAGACGGAAACATAGACCGGGAAATTTTGCCAACGTAAGGGAGCGTCCTAATGGGTCCTGGGGCAGACAGGGCGCCGTCAGCTGCCCACCCTTACATTCCTGCATGGAGGGCAGCTGTAGCTAGCATTTCTCACCCCTCCTGTCTTTTTTTTTTTTTTTTTTTGAGATGGAGTCTTGCTCTGTTGCCCAGGCTGGAGTGCAGTGGCACGATCTCGGCTCACTGCAAGCTCCACCTCCTGGGTTCACGCCATTCTCCTGCCTCAGCCTCCCGTGTAGCAGGGACTACAGGCGCCCACCACCAAGCCCGGCTAATTTTTTTGTATTTTTAGTAGAGATGGGGTTTCACCGTGTTAGCCAGGATGGTCTCGATCTCCTGACCTCGTGATCCAACCGCCTCGGCCTCCCAAAAGTGCGCGTGAGCCACCGCGCCCGGCCCCCCTTCTGTCTTTCATCTTTATACTTCCCCAGGGGTTTCTGGGCTGCCCCCTCACCCAAGCCTCAGAGCCAGGTCTTTCTTATGGAGTTGGAGGCTGTGACCACATGGTTTTCCAGCTTTTCTAGTTCTTTGAAGTCCTAAGATTCTACATCAGGTCTCATAGGCCACCGCAGGGAATGAGGGGACCCAGGCAGGGGTCTCCAGGCCCCCCACCACTCACGCAGCCAGTGCATCTTCACTCTAACTTTCTTACCCATTTGGCTTCCAAATCAAATGCAACTAAAAATAGAATCCCATTTCTATAAAATGCTTGAAAAATAGCTTTCTTCAGGGAGATGACTTGGAGTTGGGACACCAAGATTTAAATCCTGGCTCTGTCTCCTAAGAGCAAGTAACCCAGAGCAGGCCGGCACTGTGAAATGAGGTTGCTGTCTGACCAGAGAACACAAGGAAGGTCGTCCTGGCAACAAACCCAGTGTAATGCTTGGGGCACTCCATAAGCATTTTTTAAAAATGTTTTTAGAGACAAGAGTCACACGATGTTGCCCAGGCTGGCTTTGAACTCCTGGACTCAAGCATTCTTCCCACCTTAGCTCTTGAGTAGCTGGGATTATAGGCACGAGCCACCACATTCAGCTTTAAGCATGTTTTTCTTTTTAATTTTTCCTCAAAAAAGAATGATACAACTTTTATTTTCCATGAATTTTTGTTTTTTTGTTTTGTTTGTTTGTTTGTTTGTTTTTTTGAGAAGGAGTCTCGCTCTGTCACCCAGGCTAGAGTACAGTGGCGTGATCTCGGCTCACTGCAACCTCCGTCTCCCAGGTTCAAGCGATTCTCCTGCCTCAGCCTCCCAAGTAGCTGGGATTACGGGCATGCACCACCATGCCCGGCTAATGTTTGTATTTTAATAGAGATGGGGTTTCACCATGTTGGCCAGGCTGGTCTCGAACTCCTGACCTCAGGTGATCCGCCCACCTCAGCCTCTCAAAAGTGCTAGGATTACAGGCGTGAGCCACCTCATCCGGCCTCAACCTTAAACAATTTTAAGGTGATATGTTTGGTAATGTATCTGTGATCTTTAAAAGGTGTAGAGTTTTGGGAATGTACAACATACAAGGTAAAACCAAGATTACATTAAACATTATTTTATCCTCTGCACTAATTTTGCAGTGAGGCACAAATGGCAAGTACACTATTAAATGACATTTACTGTCAAAATTAGGAACTTCATTGGAATTACTCTGAAAAACTTAAGCCACTGTAACTTGACACAATGACACATTTTTCCATTTTAGGACATCCAATTATATATAAATCTCTGGACTATTACATTCAAACTCATTTGTACTGCCAAATGTGGCATTTTAAAGAAGTTTCTAGAAAACAATTGCAATCACTGTTGTTTGGGGGGAAGGTTATCACCCTGTACATAAGAGATTAAATTAAAATAAAATGTAAACATATAGTATATTATAGTGACAGGTCGTTCTTACCACTCAGAAAGGCCAAATTTATCCATTTCTTTTTCGAACAAAGGTGATTTTTTTTTCTACAGAACATATCCTTTGACATAAAACAATTACAATACATGCCCATTCTTTTTTAAAGGAAAGTCTTCAGAGATCTTCAAAGCATAAAACATATGTTTTTTTTTCAAAGACTGACAGAAATGCTTAATAATCACTAAAATGCCAACCTCAGCAACTAAAAATTAGTGATTCACTATACTGAAATTAAAATAGCTTTAACAAGCTAGTTATAGGTGTTTTACAGATAACAGATGTGATAAAACAAGAGTTGGAGAAGTTTTAATTTGCGTCTTTTCTTCAGGTATTTAACAAGATAGAATAGAGCTGGGTTGCAATATCTTAACTCCACCACCAGGTGGACCTTGCCTGAGAAGGCCAAAAGAAGGCAAAACAAAGTCACAACTTAGATTTTCAAGCCTATGGCTTCTAAAAGTCGGTGTATCCCATTCATTTTAAAACAGTAGATGCCTCCTTCTTTCACTTAAGAACTCAATGTCAAGTCTTCCTTTCATGGAGGACGAAAAATCAGCACCATCCCTCTCAGGGCAAAATAGAGAAAGCCCACTCAAGCACTGTTTTCCTAATGCAAAGGCATGAAGTTCTTTGCAGGATTGACAGGGTCTCACCTCTTCTGTATTAGGCTGGTGCCAGGGAAAAGGGCAGGCATGGAGAGGAAGCAAGAAGACTGTCTTGCAAAAATGTCAAGGAAACATCCCCTGTTTGCACACATGTGGGAAAGCGAGTGGGCCAGCACATGGTGTGACAAGACTTTTTTTTATAGCATGCTCAGCTCAAAGAGCTTCCTCTGTGCTGGGCACACAGGTGTCCTCTGCAAGCCACACAGCAGCCTGACTATCCTCATCTCACAGAGGAAACCAGGGCCCAGGAAAGTGGGTAATTCACCAGCCTCCCACACCACAGTTGGGGAAACTGAGATTTGAACTGAGAACTCTCTAACTATGAAGGGCTGTGCCAGGAATGTTTTAAGGTAGAAACAAGGAAAGCATTGACCTTCATGCTTCAATCCAAGACACAGAGACCTTGAGGTGAGTCTAAGACAGTGATTGCTGGAGGCTCCAGTTCCCATACATACCCTCTGGTGAGCTTCTCAGCATACATCTCAGCCCACTCCAGTTCCCCACACCACCACATACATCCCCCCAAAACCTGCAAACCCAACACGGAGACAGACACTCAGATGCATAGTCAGAACTCATGCCCACACAGAAGGGCAGTTTGTGCAAGCTCCCAGCAGGTGCACACACAGGCTTACGTGGGCACCAGCACACAACAAAGCACAAAGGTGCACCTGGGAGTCACGCTTGTGAAGAGGACATTACACACAGGAGAAGTGCACATCAGAAACAGCCTGAAGCTAGAATAGAGGCAACCAGAGCAGGGAACGTGGGGTACACCTGCCCCACTCCTCAACTACCCTAAAACATGCACTCCTGCTGCTAGCAAGAACCCTATGTCTGAGACCTAGATTCCAGGGACCCCCCAAGTCTCTTCCACACTGCAGGCTCAGAGGATCAAGGTCCCTTACCAGCAGGGACACATGAGTGCCTCTCACACAGAGGCATCCTCTCAAGTGGCTCTCAGATGTGTAGGAGGGCCATGTCTCCCTTCTTTGCCTTAGATCAGATTGGCACAGTGGTTAGAAGCAGAGACTGAATGGGAATCCCAGCTCTCCTCCTGCCTGGGTGGGAGTGACCTTGGACAAGTCTTCTTTTCTATAAGCCTCAAATTTCTCGGCAAAATGAGGGTATGATACTCACCTTGTAAGGTTTTAGTAAGAAATGAGATAAAGTGTAAACATCCAATAAGAACTGAATAGATGTTGATTACCTTTTCTTGGACCCCACTCTCCTAGCACTCGCTGCTCAATGCAGCAGACAGACAGACACCATTCAATCAGCCACAAGCATTCCTCCCATAGGCCCTCCCTTCCAGGGGCTAA
This sequence comes from Homo sapiens, assembly GCF_000001405.40. Classification (NCBI taxonomy): domain Eukaryota; kingdom Metazoa; phylum Chordata; class Mammalia; order Primates; family Hominidae; genus Homo; species Homo sapiens. The sequence goes on from NC_000005.10 coordinate 175,842,048, forward strand.
GAATTGCAGCGAAGACAGAGATCTAAGCAGATAATGACTGTCCAGCATGGAGGGCCATGAAGGAGGACACACTGCTGGTATGGTGGGAGCCCAGAGGAGGAGACAGCAAAGCAGTGGCACAGCAGGCTGCCCAGAGCTGTGGGTGCCAGCAGGATGGGGGCCATAAGGCCACATTTCAACCGAAAACAGCAGGTGGTAATCATTTCCTCAATGACTCCCACTATTGACACTTACTGAGCACCTACTGTGTACTAGACATTTTACATGTCCCTGTGAGTGAACCAGTGCTCTAATCATACAGCAAAGATGCTATTATTATCTCCTCCTAAAGAAAAGGAAACCAGGGGAGTAGGCATGACCTGCTCAAGGTTACAGAGATCAGGGTGAAGCCTGACTGCAAACCCCACACTCTTCCCTGATGATCCCAGCTCTCAGCTCCTTTAGCAAACGGCCCCGCTTCCTGATTGTGCCTTCCTCCTCGAGTTCACTGGGAAGACACATGGTACCGTGGTGACCCACATCACCATCTCTGCAGAGTCCAGCACCCCGTGGAAGGACGGCCATGGGGCCTGCACTCCAGGGTTCCCCTAATCCTCCTCCCCTGGCCCCAGCCAGGCCCTCTACCTCTGAGGCCCTTCTCACCCACCTGCACTTGCAGGACAGCTGCTCGGTGGCCCCAGCACAGGCCTGCGCCTCTGGGTATTAGGCAGCCTCTCCTGAGCCCTGGCATCTGCCAACCCTGCCCTTCTTAGACTCTTTGGCTAAACACCCAACTCGTGACAACCATTTCACAGAGGGAGAAACTGAGGAAAGAAAGACCAGGGGCCCTAGAGGTGAGGGCCGGCACCCATGCTCTGAAGAGAACATCCCACCAAGTTTCCCCTCTAGGCCCTGGCGCAACTGTGAGTCTAGAGACCCCTCTCCCTACCTCATCCTTGGGAATCAGCAGCCATAGCTTTAAACAGCTCATCCCCCCAGGCTGAGCTAGGATTACAGCAGGCTTGCCAGTGAAGGAGGTTACCAGCGAGATGAGTCAGCCAGCCAGTCAGGGTCAGCGGGTAGGGGAGGGCCAGTCGGTCAGGCAGACAGCAGCAGCCACCCAGGGTCCAGAGCCAGTCTCTGAGGCAGCCAGACGGGGTCAGCTAGTCAGACAACAGGCTGGCCTGGCTCACAGCCTCCTCCAGCCCCTCTCTCGAGCTCTGCCTTCCCCACAAGCCTTTGATGGGGCCTCAAAGCAGTAGCCAGAAAGCCCCAAGCTGTAAACACTGGCTCCCAAGGCACACACACTGTGGTCTCACGCATGCACACACCTGCATGTGCTTACTGTGTGAATGTCCCCCCAACACACACACACAGCGCTGTGCATGCCTAGGCACGCATACACCAGGCACACATGTGTGCATGCTTACTATGTCATGTTGCACACAACACATGCTCACAGTCACGCACACACATACTCACCAAGGCACACTCGTGGCCTCCTTCCTGCTCACATCTTTGTAAATGAACGCAGGATCTCCCCTGCTGATGGGGCCCCTGAACAAGGGAAATCCAATCCCTACCATCACCTAAAGGGCTGAGAAAGCCTTGGGTCGGGGAGGCCACTCCTCACCAGCAAAGGGTGAGTGAGGGAGCAGGCAGGGCCTGGGGTCAGGCCCAGGGTCTCGCTCCATGTGAGCCAGGCTGTGAGCCAAGTGGGTGCCTTCAAAATTAGGTGCTGGCTCCTCTCACCTGGGTTCCTCCAACTGAGGGGAAAGCCTCAGGAGAGAAGGTCGTTGTTACCTGCTATAGCCCCGGGCCAGGTGGCTGGGCAAGCCAGCTGTAGGGAGGGTTCCCAGGAGCACAGAGCTCTGGGCAGGTCCCAGCCCCACCTCTGAGACCTCCTTTCACCCCCTACACAGTGTTCTCTGATTCACTGCCTCCTCATTTGGGGCCTTGCCCATGTGGGGCAGATTTGAGGGCAGAAGACCTGTGTGCCTACCCAGAAATGACCCTTGAGCCCACCCCAGCATCACCTCACCTATAGGACAAGGTTAGTGATCTTCATTAAAAGGGGTGGGGTTTCTGTGCAATGCTATCTAGGGACCATCTTGAGGATGGAAGGCACTGCCCAGGTGGGAATCACCAATGCCCAGCCAGAGGCCAAGGAACACGCCAAGAGGAACAGCCAGAGGCTGCCTGGCAGTTTTGAATGTTAGCAGCGGGATGGAGACAGGGGCTCATTCCCAGAAATGGAGGCACCCAGAAAGGCAAGAAGTTTCTGTTTCTTCATCAGGAAAATCAGTGCCTACCACACAGAATTGGTCACGCATTCATTCAACAAACCTTTACTGAGCTGCTACTGTGTACCAGGCACTGCGGTTAGAGGGGCCAATAGGGACAGACAAGAGCCTGCTCTCTTGAGGCTTCTGTCTGGTGGGAGAAGACAGACAGTCAACAAGGGGACAGATGGAAAAAATAAAACAGAGATTGTCAGCTGTGACAAGGAGGGTGGCTTGTTGTATAAGCAAAGTCAGAGAGGGTCTCTCTTGGGAGGCAGCCTGAATTTGTCTGGCCACCTGAAAAAGAAACCACCAGCCATATGAAGAACAGAGAGAACAGCCATGGGGCCGAGGGAGCAGCAAGTGCGAAGGGCCGGAGGCTGGCGGAGCTTGCTGCAACTCCACGAACAGAGGGATCCTGTGAAGTGGAAATAACGTGAATGAGTTTTTAAAAGCAGGGCGTGGATTTAAAAAGTGCCTTTGCAGGGGGAGGAAGGGACCAGATGATGTAGGACATTGTGAGGACGACCAAACAGCACGTTTGTAAACTCCAAGGGCTGGGAAGATGAGTCTTTGTCGAGGGCTGGATTGTATTTCTGGAAAGCACATTTCAATGCAGGAGCCTCTAGGGTGGATGGAAGACACCAGAATAGCTACAGAACAGAGGCTCTGTGAGCTTTTGGCTGCCCCTCTGCCCAGAACATTCCCTAACAAGGACCAGTTCTTAGAAGGGGAAGCCCCAGGCAGGCCCAGATGGTGACCCAAGAGAGCCTTCCGTGCCCATGGAAGCACTTGCCTGCAGCTTCTGTGGCCAACAGATCACTCTCCTGTATGTTTTCTCATTTTCTCTTCACAACCACTCTGTGTGGGAGTCAACAGCAGACACCTTTTCCAAACCAGAAAGCTCCTTAAAAGGGAATCACACATGTCCCTCCTGTACTTACAACCCTACAAGGATCCACTATTCTTGGACTAAAACCCACAGCCCACTCTGGGACCCGCAAGGCCCCACATCACCTGGCTCCTGCGGCCTCTCCGGCCTCATTTCCTCAACTCTGCCCCTGCTCCCACACTGCAGCCACATGGCCTTTGGTCTATTGCTCCAAAGCACCACCAGGCTCTTTCCTGCCACAGGCCCTTTGCACCTGCTTTTGCTCTCCTTGGCAGATTATCCCATCAGGCAAAGGTCACTCCCCCTCATGAGGGCCACTCCCCCTAGAGTAACTGCCCCCATCTGCGTCACTGTGTGTTATTTTCTTCATATTTTCTTCAGAGCATTGCCTGAAATTATCTTGTCTTTGCATGCTTAGGTAGTATCTTTGCTCCTACTGGACTGTGAGTCTCTTAAGGGCGGGGACTCATTGGTGCTGGTTCCACGGGCCTGGCACACTGCCTGGCACAGAGAAAGAGCCCGAGGGATATTTGTGGGATAAATGGATGAGTGATGTGCCCAAGGTCACGTGGCTGTCAGATAACAGAGGCAGAACTTACACCCAGGCCTTTGGGCTGCTAAGGGCAAAGTTTTCTCCTAGAATCCCAGGACTTTGAGGGAAACCCAGGATGGGTGGGCCTGGGTCCCAGGAAAGGGGAGTCATTTGTGTTCCTCCTGGCTTCCACCCCTCTGGCTTCATCCCCAGCAATCTGAAAGATGCAGATGGCCTGTCCCCTCACCTCCTGAAATCAATCAGGGCGAGACCTTAGTGAGGGCACTAAGGTCTGACCCTCCTGCCCACACCGCACCTGTGGCCTTTTCCTTCCTTCATTTTGAGGCTTGGCTGGCAGGTCTCCACTTCTGGCCATGCACACACACAAACACACACACCCGCACCCCCCTGCCTGGCCAAGTCCTCCCCAAGGGTGGGGGTGAGGCCCAGCACTAGCCATTCTGCACCCCCTGATTCCTGGTCTGTGACTCCACAGGACAGGCATGGCAGATCAGTTCTCCCTGCCCTGTAGGTTCCCAGGGCTCAAGGGCACCTGTGGTCAGCCCCGCAGTAGGATGAAGAGTCAAGAGGGCTGCGTGGAGAGTCAGAGGACCTAGACTCTAGCTCTCTCCACCTCCCTCTGCCTGTATGACCTTGGGCAGGTCACTTCCATCCCCTGAGGCTCAATTTCCTCATCTGTAAAATGAAAACAGGGTGGATTTAATGGTCTCTGAGGAATCTTCTAGGTTGAAAGATAAAGATTTTTTGGGATGCTGGACATTTATTGAACACCAACTGCATACCATCCCCAGATACTGGGCATTTATTGAACACTACTGTATACCACAGCAAATCCATGACTACACCCAGACTCAGAGGGACAAAGAGGCTTGCTCAAGTTGTCCGAGCTAGCAGGTGGCAGAACTGGGATTTGACCCTGGCCTGCCTGATTTCTCTTCCCCAACTGTTCTAGGAGCCTTTGCTGCCTCAGCCCCCCAACTCAATGCCACTCCCCCATGCCTGTAAGCTGGACTTCTGTCTTCTCTGTCTGAAAAGTTTGCTTTTGCACTGAATCCCTCCCGGGCTGCTGGAGTGTGATTTGCTGCCTGACAGCTGGAAGTCAAAGCAGCAAGGCTAACTCCATCCTGCAGGCCTAGCCAAGCTCAGGGGCCCTGAAAGTTTCCAGGGGCAGTTAGACCAAGCTGGGCAACCTTGGGCACGTTGATCAAGCTCTCTGAACCTCGGCCTCCTCATATGTAGTGCAGGGAGGCTACTTCTCCTATTTAGGAGGCGTTGAGATGAATCAACAAGGTGGTGGCACCAAGGAAGCAAAAGGGAGACCCCCGCCTGGAGTCTGGGTGTGTAAATAAAGAGGCGTGGGGCCAAGGAGGGCTTTAGGGGCCTCGTCCCAGGCGACGTGAGGCCACCGCAGGAAGTTTCTGAGCAGGGGAGTGCTGTGAGGCGAGGAGTATTTTAAGAAGATTCTTCTGGCAGCACAGACCAGGTTGAGTTGGAGGAGCCGCGTGGGGGAGTGCGAGCGGCGCCCATGCCTGGAAAACTTTGCAAATGAGGCCCCCTCTTGGAGCCCTTCAGGATCCAAGGCAATCTGAGAAGCAGGGGCTGGGTCCGAGGTCTCACCCCCGACACAGGTTGCATCTACAACCTCAGGGCCATCAGCATCCCCAGAGCAACTCAGACAGGCTCCTAGTCCATCACGACGTGCCTTCGCTCACAGCATGCGTGGCCCACTCAGAGCCGCCGCTAAAGCTAGGATTTGAAGCTGGGTCTGTAGGACATCAAGTCCAGCGCTCTTCCATCAGAGTTACACATACTCCAGGAACCTTGCCTGAGCCTCAGATGGGCATCTTACTGCCCTCAACTCAGCCCAGGGCAGGATTAGAGAGAACGGGAGGTCCTGCTTAGCTGCAGACTCAACAACTCCTGCAGGGGGCATGAGAAGGCGGCTGCAGAACCTGCCCAGACCACACACAGGCTCCACTACATGGTGCCAGTCACAACAGAGTTAACCCTGGCTTCCCCGATTCTGCTAGTCAGGCAGCCACCATGGCAGAGGCACCAAGAGACACTGCCTGGGACCCCCAGCCCCTCTCCTCCAATCCACATGTCTGTCAGTCCCCCCGTGAGGTTCAAGCTTTCTCAGCTGCCGGCGAGTTTTATGGCCTCTGATGCTGACAGTGCTGTTCCAAGTCTCTCACCTAACAGCTTCATCACAGGGCTAATGGTCACTGCTATTCATTCAACAAACAATCTGTGATGCTTGCTTTGTGCCAGGCCCTGGGGCCAAAGAGATGTTTAGACACAGCCCTGCCTCAACAGCCCCAGGCTGGCAGCAAAGAGACACTGCAGGAGATGGGAGATAGTCTGTCCAGCCAGGAAACTCCTAGAAGTCTCCCCAGAGCCCATCATACCTATAAGGAGATCTGAGGGGGGCGGGGGGCAGGGAAGCCAGACACAGCCATTGGTAGGGGAGAGGAAGGAGTGTCCCCAGCATGTACAAAGGCTGAGGCATGATGAAAGGCCCCAAAAAGGAGGGACAGACTGCTGCAGAGGGGCCCATCTACCCAAGGGGGTCAGGAAGCATCCCTGGACCAAGCGATGCTGAGCTGAGTTTTGTGTAGGAGTACAAGTCAACCAGGGGACAGGAGGAGGACAAGGCATTCCAAGAAAGGGAGAAGCAAGTGCAACACAGGCAAGGGAGAACAGGGTGTCTTCTGGCAATTGCAAGGTGTTGTTCAGTGTGACTGAAGGAGAGGGCACGAGGGAGGCATGGGCAGAGTAAGACTCAGAGGACTCAGGGGCTATTTCAGGTGCTGGGACAGAGCCACAGGAAGGGTGGGTGAGGGTCCTACTCCTAGAGAAAAGTCATTCTAGTTGAGGAGATGCAATAAACACATTTAAATGAATAAAGATAATTCCAGACAGTGGCAAGTACTACAAAAACCATTAAATAGAGTAGTGCAATAGGAAGTGAGGTCCTGTTTTAAATATAGCAATCAGAGGGGTTGCTTTGGGGAAGGGACATTCAAGCCAGAATGTGAATACCAAGAAGGAGCCTGCCAGGCAAAGATGAGCATGTTTCAGGCAGCAGAGAGCATGTGCAAAGGTCCTGAGGCAGGAACAAGCTTGGCAACCCGGGGAAGGCAGGGAGTCCGTGTGGCTGAAGCAGAGTGAGCCGGGGAGAGCAGAAGGAAAGGAGGGCATAGAGGAGACGGCTCAGTTTGCATGGGCTTCAGAGGCCCAGAGAGTGACTGGATTGCATTCTACCTGTGCTGGTTTCTTCTAAGCCAATGGAGACTTTCAAACAGAGGTGTGTCGTGATCTAACTTACACTTCTCAGGATCCCTCCTCTGCTGTGGGAGGCTGTGCTGGTGTGTGTTTTTAACACCAGCCAGTGCTGCCGTGTGTGCAGGACCGATGTCCACACTTCACAGGTGGAAACAGAGCACAAAACAGTCAGTTTGCTTGTTTGGGTGGCACTGACCTGTCCATTGTCACCAGCCAGCAGCTCAAAGGGATGTCCGGCTACCCTTGGGTGAGGACAGGGTAGTGTGCTCTCTGATTCCAAAGGGACACCTGATGGTGAGTTTCGCAACACTGGACGTCCGTGTATACTTTCCTGGGACTGATGTCACAAAGAACCAGAATCTTCCTTAGGCCAAGAAACATGGACCCCTCATCTCATACACAGGACCTCATGCATGCAGCCGAACCCCACACTGGATGTTAGAGGCACAAAGACTTGACCTTGAGGGGCTCCCAGCATGGCTGGGGAGATAGCACATAAGCAGAGACTCTCCCTGCACAAGGGGGTGCTACCACGCTGGACAGGGGACCACACTGGCTGGGGGAGCCTTCTCAGGGAGAGAAGAGGAGAGGCTCCTGGAGAGAAGCCCTCTGCCGCAGGTCCTCGTTGGGGTCATCATGGGAGAAGCCGGGCTTTGGAGCTGGACTCACCTGAGCCTCTCGGTGTTATAGCTCCCCTGCTGCGTGAGCTCCAACAGGGCCCTGGACCCCACCCTGGCTCCATCTCCCCTTGGAAGCACCTTCCTTGCCTTGCTCCAGCCATTGGGGTCATGGCATGTGGCCTCTCACCAGGTGGGCTCTCAGCAAACATGAGTCCCTTCCTCAAATATTAATGGAATTGTCCCTTTGGGGGAACGACCGTGTGACTCTGAGCATGAGAAGTGTGGTTTTGGGTACCATCTGTTTCCCACTGAATCAGGGGCTCCCTGTGCTCCAAAGGAGCCACATACACAGAAGTCATCCTTGGGAATGTGTGGTCTGTGCAGCGGGCCACACCACGGCATCAAGGCACATGAGGGCAATGGCGCAGGCCGAGTGAGGAACCTGCTGTTGATGCTGATCAAAATACTGGAGTTTGCAAGTGACAGTTTTTTTGTTTTTTTTTTTTAAGCAAATTAGGGTTGATTCAAAGATTTCCCTGTAACAACGTCACATTCAGGATGATCTAGCATCAGCCAGATATGGGGCCCTGGGGTCTGAGGTCACCCATGCAGGGCCCAGCAAGGGGGTGGTATTTGGGCCGTGCCTTGAAGAAAAGGAAGGGCTGGCTGTATGGAAAACGCAAGTCTGGCAGGAGGATGAGTGGGCGGGAGACAGAGGCAGGAAAGCTGCACAGGCGCAGGGAGCCTCCAGAGGTTCCTTTCGGCTGGCCAGAGCAGACTAGAGCCGCACTGGGAAGGACCCTGACCACTAAGGTCAAGGTCTAGTCTAGACTCTGGCCAACACACCTGCACTTCCTCGGAACACCCCCTTGATGTTCCACATCAAAAGGTGCATGATCAAATAAGTTCTAGAAATGCCACATGCTGCTTCACCTCTCGGAAAATCATCATCCACAGGAGCACAGCAAAGGCCCTGAGAAGTCCTGCAGGGGAAGTCTGTCTGATTCCATTTAGCCCAGCAATCCCCACTCATTTGACCGAGGGCACCCTCATCCCCAGAACCCCCACTAATATCTGCAAGATCCACTTTGAAAAATGCCACCATAGAAAGGGGTGAATTGCTGAGCAGGGGCAGAGCGATGTGTTCAGAGCTGGGCTCACTGAGTCGGAACCAGGTGAGGGCTGGGAGTGACGAAGGGGCTGAGGGAGCCAGGCTGAGGCAGAGACACAACTAGGAGGCTGTGTGTGGTGCAGAGTGGGGCTGGGAAGGCCTGAGGAACCAGAGGCAGGAGGGAGGTGGTAGGGGCAGAGAGACGAGATCTCAGGGGGTGAGTAGTCCAGATTTGGCATCCAAGCAGACCAGGGATTTGAGCTTAAGGAACCACAGAGATGGTAGAGCCGCTGCCTGAGGTGGTTCTGGTGGGAGATAAATAAGTGTGGCTCAGGGCATCTTGCGTGTGAGGAGCCTGTGGACAGGTGGCTGTACCACACTAGAGACAAAGCCCACTTTCTTGTCTCTTCAAAGGTACCCTCAGGTTGAAAGGTGGCCCCCTTTGGTTTGAGCTGGGGAGCCCCTTAATGAAACACACCAGCACCATTCATTCATTCCTCCAGTAAACAGCTGTCAGGTCCAGTTGGGGCCAGGTTGAAGGGCCACGGTGAAGCCTGCACAAAGGCCCAGTGAGGCTGGGGCTGACTGCCCAGGGCAGGTGCCATGTGTCCTGGGTCATAAACAGTCACACAAGGAGAAAGGGCATCCCAGGCAGAGGCACGTGCAGCTTGAGGTGCTGAAAAGGGTGTGGAGAAGAAACACGTGACTGGAGGGAGATTTCCCCCACAAGAAGTCACTTCATGGCCCAGACCTCAGCTTTCCCACCTGTGAAATGGGCGTAATAACTTCCACTGTGGGGTCCTCTGCAAGGCCCACAGAGGAATGGCTGCGGAAGCTCCCTCATCCACACTCCAGGCCCTACTAGGCCTTATGCCAGCCATGGGGGCCACCAAGATGAATGAGTCTCAAGACCAAGGTAGGCTTCTTTGTGCCACTGGCACAGGATATCTGCTTTTTGCCCTCCAGGGTTTAGGAGGTGGTTATTGCTGGAATCAACGCCGGGGCTGTCCTCAGCTCCCAGGGACTAGGTTCCAGATGTGTGCATCTGGCAGCCGTGCTTTGGTCCTGGCTTGAGTGTGAGGATCCGTGGGCCGCTCAAGAAGAGGCAGATGTATTTTGACAAGCCTGCCACAGCTTCTGCAGCATCCTGAGTCAAAATAAGCCCTTCTCTTGGGCAGCCCCTGGGACGGGCTATTTCTGCACCGTGTTTCTTTTTTCTACACAGGGGGCTGAACAGCAATGATTCCAGCTAAAAACAGAAGCTGCCCCAGCTGGAGCCCACAATATTCCCCTCAATGACAGAAACCTCAGCGCACAGCCTGTCAGGAACTCAGGAAGTCTTTCGTGTGGGCTCAAACTCAGATAATTTCCCCTGAGGGTAGGCAGTCCAACTCCAGGAACACTCTGATAGCCTTCCAACCCCAGGTGGTTACGAATAATAAAAATAAGTCCTCACAGGAATACGAAACTTTACCAATGACAAAGTATTTTCTTGCCTAAACAGTAACTTGTTGAGGGGATTCTATTATTCCCATTTTAACAATGAGCAAACGGAGGTTTTGAGAGTTGACCTGCCTCTGGAGGGATGGAGGAGAGAAGATTTGAGCCCATAGCTGTTGAACTGTCTTGGTAGAAAGAAAGAGCCTGCAAAAGAGAAAATGGAATTGCGGCAGAGGTGGCTTCAAACAGTTTCTCGGTTTGACCAGATCAGCACCAAACAGCTAGAGTTCTTGCTTTCTGTGCCAGGCACCATGCAAAGGCACGTACATTCACACACTGCATCTCATTTAATCTTCCGAACAGCCCCGGAAATGGGGATTGCTGTTGCCTTTTTCTGGATAGGGAAACTGAGGATCAGAGAGACAAAGTGTCTTCTTCCCATTTGGCTACAAGTAACGCAGGTTCAACCTGGGGTCTTGTGCATCCAGCAACCATGCAGAAAAGTCCTTTGCCTCCCTGGTACTGGAAGAGCTGAGGCCAAGGACCAGCTAGGTGGGATGGGAAGTAGGGCTGACCCCAGAGAAAGCAGGGCGGGCAGGTGAAGGTGTCTCGCGGTGTTTTCCAAACCCAGGGAAGCATTGGCATCTCCGTGACTGTAGGTGGTTCTGTGGGTACCACTCTCGATAGCAAGTCATATACTGAGGAATCTTTCAACACTCCAGTCATGTCTGTGAGGAAGTCTCAGTACGTCCTCAGCAGTCTCTAATGTTAGCCCCCTCCCTGTCCATGACCAGAGGGCTAGCCTCAGACTGAGGGCCCAGGCCCAACAGCGTGGGGCAAGACAGTACACGGGTTTCCTTTTCACTGCATTTATGTGCATTGTTACCTTCTGTTAATAACAAGTGATACTAGTTTTCTGGTTTAAAGTGCCCATGTGAGGTTTCTTTTTTAAATAAATGCACCAAAGCGTTTTATTTTTGCAAGTGAATGAAATGAGAGAAATGTTAAGTAAATAGCATAGGTGGTTTGGAGACGTGGCAAATACCATAGAGGTGCTACTCCACCAGTCAAGCCGGGGACACACTGGCTCCTCAATTCTGGGCCAGCCCTGGCAACAGCCTCACACGGTGCCCCTGGAAACAGCTGTGAGGACCCCTGAGAAACTGGCCCCAGCGCCCCTCCTCCGAGAGCTGCCCGGCCTCTTGTCTTTCAGGGTTGTACAGAGGCTGTCAGGAGCTCCAGGCCTCAGTCCCACCCTGTCACCTGCTGAAAGAGCTGGGTACCAGGTCTTATTTGTCTCTGGGCCCCAGTTCCAGCACAGGCTCCCACAGGCTTGCTGGCAAATATCTGTCTATTGTGCCCTGAGATATGCTGGGGACAAGGGGCAGAGTCTCTCGGAGGTAAAATTATGAAAATAGCAACTTGAACCCATAAGAGGAGACGGTACAAAGTCAGCAACTGTCTGCACCGGCCCCTTCTCTCATGGACATCCAAATTCAAGCCCTTCTTGTGATGCAATAGGAAAGGGCGGTTCTGGAACCACACGGCCAGAGCACAGATCTCAGGGGCCTCTGACGACTGAGGGCCTTGAGCAAGCGGCTGCACTTCCCTCCCCAGCTTCCCCCTCTGTGGAGTGCGATTGCTGCAATGCCCACTTTCTAGGTCTGTTGAGAGGCTCCCTGAGTTCATGCAGATGAAGAGCTTACAGCACCCCTGGCCCATGGCACCCCATTCATGGTACCTGTTCCTCCATGGCAGGCACTGGCTAGCAATTCCCAGATGTTATCTCAAGCCTGGCATCAGCCTGGGAAAGTGGGCTCAGAGAGGCGCAGTGCCTTGCTCTAGATCACACAGCCAGAAAGTGCTGGGGCTGGGTAGGAGCCCAGGTTCTCCAGCTTCATGCCCGGTGCCCTGTCCCCAGCACCCCTGAGCCCCTACCCATGTGTCCTTGTCCTGAGGCCCCCACTTCTCACAGCTCCTCCTTCCTTTGACCAGCTCTTTTCTCCTTTTATCTTCCACAGTGAGAACTCTTTTCCTTTTGACCAGGGACAGCCAGGCCTTCGTTTGCTGGATCAATCTTAAAGCTCCCTGCTGACCCCAGCCTTCCTGCCACCCTTGCTGCCTGCCATCCCAGCCTAGGTTTCCTCCATAAAGTCACTGGGGAAGCAAGGACTCTTGATTGCATGACACAGAACCCTAACTCAAACTGGGGAGGCGCAAATAGTCCACGCAACCTTTCTGAGCCTCAGTTTGCCCTTCAGTGTAATGGGGTCATAATGCTACATGCAGTACAATTGATGTAAGGATGAAAGGAAGCTATGCATGTCAAAGCCTTAGAACCGTGCCTGGCAGGTGGTGAGCACTCATTATCAGCGTACTATTTGTATTATTATTACTACTGTTATTAGCACTACTCAAGGCATGCGGGGTCAGAGACACTGCCCCATCTTCAAAGAACTCACTGTTAAGAAGGAAAAGCCTAAATATGTATACAAAGATAAGTAAACATCCCAAGATCACAGCAGCCTACGAGACAGCAGAGCCAGAGTGAATTTTGCAGTGTCAGAGTGATACAACACTGCAGTCAAACAGGTGTACCATGATCCAGCGCCACAGTGGGAGCGAAAAAATTACACAATCCATTGATTCCACAAACATTTACCAGGTACCCGCCATGGGCCAGGCGCTGTGCCAAGGCATCGGGGCTGCAACAATGGCCAGACAGACGTCATCTCTGCCTCTGGGGGACTCCCACCCAGCAGAAGAGATAAACCCAGAACAAATAATTATTGAAGTTCAGTGGAGCTCAGAAGAAAAATTATATTAGGCCATAAAATGTCTACCAGAAAACAGAGCTTAGTCTGAGGGTGTAGCCAGCAAGGCTTCTTTCCTGAGGACCTGGGGATTAAAGGGCATGACAGTCGGCAGGGAGAGCAGCTGGATGAGAGCAGGAGAGTAGACATTACACACAGTATTTAGGGGTGACATCTGCCTTCTACCATAAGGCAGAGCAGTCGAGGTTCAGTCCAGAGTCGAAATGTGTGGAGTCTAATCCCAGCTCTACCATGTGCTAGCCGTGACCTCTCAGCCAATATAAGACACCTCTTTTAGCCCTAGTTCCTTCATCTGCGTAATGATCACAATGTCAGTACCCCACTGGATTAAGTGAAATAACACATGTGAACTACTTAGCACAATGCCAGTCAATCCTATTTTAGATGCAAGTGATAGAAAAACAAATGTAAATGGTTTAAGGCCAAAGGAGTTATATTTGTTCATGTAACTGATAAGTTCAAGGGTAGATCTCTGGATTTCAGGAAGGGCTTGATCCAGGAGCTCAAAAAATGTGACCGAGGTTCAGCCTCTCTCTGTCTATCAGCACCTCTTCTGGCGTGGCTTTCCTTTGCGGCAGGCTCTTTCCACACTGTGACCCTGCAGCTTCAGGCTCATGCTTTCCCAGCTCAGTAAGTCCAACAGAAAGAGAGGTTTTCTAATATTTTCAGGACGAGCCCCAGGATCGAGTCTCACTGGACCATCTTGGATCACATGTTCATCCCTAAATCCTAGGCCTGGATTACATGCCAATCTCTAGAGCTTGAGGGAAAGGAGATTCAATTCCATCCAAACCACATGGCCAGAGAACGGGAAAGAGTGGTTCCCCAAGGTAATATTAAGGTGCTATACGGAAGAAAGGCTACCAGAGAAAATAGGACAACCTGCGTCTACCATAGCAACCACACAGAGACACAGGATGACCATGGACAGTGCAGAATAATCCCTCAGTGCCACCTCATCCTACATCCAGCCATGGAGTGAGCCTCATCTCCCATGCAGACATCCTGGTTCCAGAAGGACAGATAGGTTAAGAGAGCAAATTCTTGGACTAAACAGCCTAGAAGCAACCCTGGTATAGCACCTTCTAGTTGTGCGACCTTGGCAAGTTTCCTAACCTCTCTCTGCCTCTCTCCTTCTCTGTAAAATGGGCATAACAATAGTACTTACCTCATAAGGTGGTTGTGTGGCTGAAATGAGGTAGTATAAAGCTCATGTAAACCCATTTTCGTTAAGCACCCAACTGTGTGCCTCACATTCAGCTGAGACTTCTGTACAGTCCTCATCTAATCTTCACCACAGACATGGGTTTTTGTACCCCTGCACTTCTGATGAGGAAACTGAGGCTCAGAGAGGTGCAGTGACTTGCCTACAGTCACCCAGCTAGTGAATGGCCAAGCTGGAGCCCAGCCCCAGGCTTTCAAATGCAACATCTGAGCTCCCGCCACGCTCCGCGCAGAGCCAAGCCGAGGAATCTGACAACCCAGCAGCCCAAGTGGAAAGACAGAGCAGGTTTCCAAGGAGAAGGAGGAGAGGTGTTGGGAACATGCAGTTATTTACAGGATGCCGTGTGGGCTGCGGCATGCGAGAGGGAGCTGTCCTGAGGTGAGGAGGGAGCGGGAGAGACTGGGTCCTCAGTTTCCTCATCTACAGACAGAGATGACGATGGCAGCCTCTCACCAAGAGTGGGCTGATGAAAGGACGTGGCAAATGTGCAGGGCCTGCGCACAGCGGGTTCTCAGGAAGGTGGGGGGTGGGGAGGACCAGCTGGGGTGTGATTGGTTGGCTGTTGTCTTCATCAGTAGGACCAGAGCCTGACCCAGGGACTGTGGGCCTCAGCTTTCCCAGAAATGAGGAAGGAACTTGCCTGGATCCTTCACTGCGGACCTTGGTTCTCCAAAAATGGCAATTCGCTAAGGAAACTGAGCTGACAAATGCAGTCAGAGAATTTAGAACTGGGGACTGAAGAACTGAACTAGGGACTCATGACAGATTCTACCTGCTTATTAAAACCTCCAAATGGCCCCCATCTCAGTCTGATAGCATCCAGGCCTCTCACTAGGGCTGATGAGGTCCCAAACAACCTGGGACTCAGTTCCCATTACATTCCCTGCCACCTGGGCTCCATTCTGTCCTGGGAACAAGCCAAGCTCACTCCCAGCTCAAGGGAGCATCCTTCAGGCCACACTTTCTGCCCCAGATCTTCAGCATGGGCCTCATCCAATTTTTCAGGTCAGGCTCAGATGTCACCTCTAGGAGCCATACTGGGACATCCCTGTCCTGTCTTTCTTTCTCATATCAACTGGCTTTATTTCTGCAGCGCACTCACCACTCTGAATTATCTTTCCATTCACAGATGCTCCTTGACTTACAATGGGTTTATGTCCCAATAAACCCATCGTAAGTTGAAAATACTTTAAGGTGAAAATGCATTTAATACACTGAACCTACTGAGCATCATTGCTGAACCTAGTCTACCTTAAACGTGCTCAGACACTTACGTTAGCCCAGTTGTGCAAAGTCAACTACCACAAAGCTGCTTTATAATAAAGCGTTGGATATATCATGTAATTTATTGAATGTTGTACTGAAAGTGGAAAACAGAGTGGTTGTATGGGTACCTGAGGTACGGATTCTACTGAATGTGTATTGCTTTCACACCACTACAAACTCAAAAAAATCATAAGTGGAACCATTGTAAGTTGGGAGCCATTGTATCTGTTAATTGCCTGTCCACTCCCACCAGAAACTCCCCATTAGGCAGGGCCCTCCTCTGCCTTATTCACCCAGTATTCCAGCTCAGAGACATGCCTGGCCCAGAGCACGTGCTCAGGGAGCAGTGTTAAGTGAGCACGAAGGTGCTGGTCTCTGCCAGACATGGGCATGATGGTTGATTCCAGCTGCTGGTAGCTGTGTGCCTCCCAGCAGCGCCAGGGCCTGTGCATACACTGTCTCAGCCCAGCAACGTGCCTGCAAGGAAAGTGTCAACATCCCACTTTGCAAATGAGGAAACTTAGGCTCAGAGTGGAAAGCTGACTTGCCCAAAGTCACACAGTGAGGGCCTGGCAAAGTCTGGATACAAACCCAATGCCCCTTCCTGCCATTCCCCGGGGAAAAGAGCTCTGAAGAACAGTACATAATAGGAGGTAAGAGAACTCCTTCGGTGAGACCCTCCTGGAGCCCCAAAGTGCTCAATACTGAGGACTGGGAATCGTGAGCTGGTGCCTGTGGTGGACATGACCAGAGCACAACCATACCCACTTACCCCTCTTCTGAGCACAAGCGACACCACCCTTCCCAGCCCCCTGCAGCGGGCAGGCCCAAGGCACTAGGCCTGGCCAATGAATGGTGAGCAGAAATGTGGCTATTGGTGAATCCACGAAGACCCTGGCAGGGAGCATGGGCCACTTTATCTGGCCCATTTGAGGAGAGCTACATCAAGGCATGGGCAGCGTGAACAGATGCCACAAGGATGGCTCAGCCCCCGGGGGCCAGTGTCAGTGGGGAGCCATTAGCACCTCCAACCTGAGGGGCGAAGGAGGAGCAGCTGCCAAGCCTAGAGAGGGTACAAGCAGGAAATGTACACAATATATTACACCAAAAATATCCCAGTGACAAAATGACATGATGATGGGGCCAAAGCATGGAAGGATCTTGCGAAGTTATAGGCACCGGCTGCAAAATGCAAAAAAGCCTCCACCTTCAGCTGAGAGACACTCTGATTGTGCTCTTTTCCTTGCCTCTAATCCCTGCCAGTACCTCTTTGATAAAACCCAAGAAAGCTGAAGACCAAGGGAGCCTGTTGATTGGTCTATGTGGGGCAGCCTCCTGGCCACAGGGCAGCAGTGGAAGGGAAAGGGCAGAACCGGAGAAAGAAACAAGATAGTCCGAAGGATCACTTTCCAGCATGGAAACCTTGGTGACACACAGCTCCCTCTTGCTACCAGAGAAGCCACGTGATCTGATGGCATCACAAGACGATGGAGCCTCCATGAGCCTCACCAACCTAGCATACAGGGTCCCTCCTCCAACTACAGCCTGGCATGGTCTGACCATCACAGTGGGAACCAAAACAAAACTAAGCAAAAACAACAACAAGCTAAGGAGACACATCTGAGAGGCTATTGCAAAGAAAAAAGCATCTTTGGGAAAACATTTAAAACTTGATGACTTGGAATCAGGAGGCGTAGCCAGGGCAGAGAGGCCTTGAAATTATGCAGTCCAAACACACTCTGAAAGTCACCTTGGGAAGGCCTGTGGGACCAAGAATAAGAGGCCTTTCAAATGCATCAAATGGAAAGAGGCCAGATAAAGAACTGGCAAGATGCTTGATGATCATAGCTCTGAGATGAAAAAGAGATATCGAGAAGATCTGAGGAAGCCACAGCCCCAGTCCCAACTGAGGAGGACCCCAGGGAAATCCCTGCTCCCAAATGGTCTCTTGGAAGTAAGGGCACCAAAGGCACTGCTCTTGCAGGCAAATGTTCCAACTCCAGTTGACAAACTAGATGCAGACAAATTGCCAGGAACAGATGGCACCTGCCCAAGAATGCCGACGCCACTCAAAGGTGAAATTGCAGAGCTGTTGGCCAAAAGTATGTGCATCTTTGAGGGGGTGTGGAGATATGAACTGTGGATATGATGTTTGGACTTTGGCAAATCTTTAAGCAAGCACCACCATTGTGAATTCCCTCTCTTTCAGTCAACGTGACCATGGGGACCAGCTTGTAGTAGGTCAAGATGCAGCTTAGAGACAAAGGAAGATCAGCTTCTTCTTTGAATGTGAGAATATTAAATGGTGGGGCTTCCCAGGATTTGGACCTGCCTGATAAGAAGTTTTCTGAAGGAGGGGACACACAGCTCCAAAGTTACAGATTCCAGCAGGTCCCTTCCAGGTGGCCGAGACAGAAACCTAATTCAGAGCAACTGAAGTAAAAAGGCAGCATTTATTGGCTCACATAACTGAAAAGTGCATGAGCAGAGCCGGGACCTGGGCCCTCACACACTGTCATCAGGAATTTGTCTCCTGCCCTTCGCTCAGCTGTGTGCTTCTCTGCATTGGCATCACCCTCGGGCAGGCCCTCCCCAGGTGGTGGCAAACCAGTCACCAGCTGCTCAGTCCCACATTCTGCCAGCCCTGCTAATCCCATACATACAGCCTCCTTTTGGTCAGGCACTGTGGCTCATGCCTGTAATCCCAGCACATTGGGAGGTCAAGGCAGGAGGATCACTTGAGCCCAGGAGTTCAAGACCAGCCTGTAGCCCCAGCTACTGCAGATGCTGAAGCAGAGGATCTCTTGAGCCCAGGAGGTTTTAGGCGGCAGTGAGCCATGATTGTGCCATTGCTCTCCAGTTCTGTCTCAAAAAAAATAAAGAAAGGAAGGAAGGAAGGAAGAAAGAGAAAGAAAGAGAGAGAAAGAAAGAGAGAGAGAGAAAGAAGAAAGAAAGAAAGAAAGAAAAGAAAGAAAGAAAGAAAAAGAAAGAAAGAAAGAAAGAAAGATAGATAGAAAGAAAGAAAGAAAAAGAAGGGAGGGAGGGAGGGAGGGAAGGAAGGAAGGAAGGAAGGAAGGAAGGAAGGAAGGAAGGAAGGAAGGAAGGAAGGGTCTCTTTCCTGTTGGTTCCAGCTAAAGTCCCAGGGCTGACTCTCATTGGCTTAGCTTGTGTCACTTGCCATCCTAGAGCCAATCACCATGGCCAGGTGGCTATCCAGCACTCTAATTAGCTGGCTATGGATCTAATGCCCACCCATGGCAGTAGGACATAGAGTCAACCCCACCCAAACCACAAAGACTGAGGGTGGAAGAAGACAGGAACTCCAGGCAACACTAGACAGGTCAAAAATGTATTATGACCACAGCAAATTACACCAGAAACATCCCAATGACATAATGCCATAGTGATAGGGTGAGAGCATGGAAGGATCTCATGGGGTTATGTGTGTGGGTGAGAAATACAAAAAAAAAAAAAAAGCTTCAGAAGAGGCAAGTGCAAGATTTAAACAAGGATGCCAGAGCTATTATTATGCTCTGTGATCCAGAAAGTGGCCTCAGTCTGCAAATCCTGCCCCTGAGATGGGGACCTCAAAGGCCATGGGCCAAGACAAGTTATTTCAACCCCAAGTAGGTGGGGCAATGCCAGGCATGTATTCTACCTCTGGAAATATTTGTTGACCATCCACAATCAAAAAAGCCTTGGGCTTGATGTTGGGGATTCAGGGATGAGCAAGGCATGCACTTGCTCTCAAGCAGCTTAGGATCCAGCAGCAGGAGACAACCAAACATAGGGTAAAAAGGGCGCCCCAGAGGTGTGGAGGGCTCTGCAGCAGGGAGCACTATGTGGGAGAAGAGTTGAGGTAAACAGGTTGACAAAGGAAGCAGAAGTCAGATCAAGAGGGGCCCTAGTAGGTTTGGACCCGATGCTGCAGGTAATGGTGAGTCACTGAAGGCCTTTGAGCACAGGAGTGACCCAAGCAGGGTGACGCTTCACCGCCTTAATAGAGCCAGACAAAGGCCCAGTGGAGAGTCACAGAGAGGATCAAAGGGCTGGCAATAGGCCTAGAAGGGAGACGGCAGAGGGAAGGCTAGAAAGCTGGAGGCGGGGAGAGCCTTGATCAAAGTCAGGCAGGGGAGCACAGCGGCTTCCTGACGCTGGACCCAGGTGGGGACAGAGCGGCCCTGTGAAGTCAAAGAGAATGTTGCTTTGTTCAGCTCTCACTGGGAAAGGTGAGTGTTGCACAGATGCACCCCAATGTCATTTATATAACCATGACCCCCTCAAGAGGGGGTGTAGGCTGGAAACTGGGACTAACTCTCTAACAAAGAGGTTCTGGCAGAGTCCTGAGTAACAGTCATAAAGGAAAGCAGAGGGCCACCTGGGTGTCTGGGGACGTTCCTTAATCATTCATTAAACAGCCACTTCCTGAGGGCCTGTTTTGGGCCTGGCCCTTCTCTGGGCTCTGAGCCCAGAGACATGAAGCCAGCATGCCCCTGTCTTATTCTGTCATAGCCCAGCACCTGCTGAAAGCACCCTGCCCCTGGGTGTGTTTGCTCAAGCAGTGCCCACTTCTCCTACTAGAAGAGACAGAAATTTGTGTATTTTCTCACCATGTATCCCCAGCAACAAGATGAGTCCCTGGCATACAGTAGATGCTCAGTATGTGTTTGCTAAGTAAAGGACTCCCTCCTCTTCAGTGAGTCCCATCCTCCAAGAGCTCACAATCTAGTAGGGAAGTCAGCCAAGAAAGCAACCTTAAGTATAAAGCTTAGTGCTACAATGAAGGGGTCCACATGGGTGCATGGGTAGTTCCACATGGGTGGTTCCATCCTGTTTCCCAAATTAGATTTTTTTTAATGCTCTAGCTGTGCCATGATGGTCAAAGCAAAGGTTTGCCAAGTGCACAGAGCAGACAAAGGCATTCCACCCAGAGCAAACAGCACGGGCAAAAGTTCAGAAACATGGTTGAGGTTGTGGCATATCCAAGAACTGTAAATCATCTGGTGTTGATGGGGCACAAGTGGCTACTATGAGACTGCAGAAAGCAGTCAGAGTCTGATCACCAAGGGCCTTCAAGGCCAGTTTAAAGGGCTTGGACTTTATACTGAAGGCAATGGGAAGGCATTAAAGGATTTGTATTAGTTAGGCTCCTTTTGGATCCTTAAAGTGTCTTTAAACAAGAAACAAAGGGAAGAGACAAAAGTATAAGACCCAGAATGGAGTCTCTCTGGCCCTCTCTGCTCATGTGCCCTCAATTGATCTCTGGGGACTGGGGGACCAGATGTGCTGATCAGTCCAGCCCAGTTCATGTGATCTGCCACCCATGGGTCCAAATGAAATACACAGGTGGGCTCCTCCAAAGCTGATGCCACACGAGGAAGGAGTTGGCCAAAAAGCTGTGACTACGGCGTGTTTTAAGGAGAGGAGTGATGCAGTCAACTCTGTGTTTTAGAAAGCTCTGATTCTCCTACAGGTCTGGAAGCCAGTTAGAAAGTAAAGAAGAAGGTAAGAGCAGAGGCAGGAGAAGTGGTCCCAGGCTGGTGGTGAGAACAGGGCTGAGCCAAGCTGACTGGAAGTGCACAAAGGCCTACCCCAGAGGGAATTTCTTATGTAAGTCCTTAGGGCACAGCTCTGAGCCCTGACCTACAGCTCCGTCACTTTTGGTCACCTTGAGACCTAGAACACCCAGCCCCATCAAGGATCAGCCCATGGTGAGGTCGCCATATAGGGTGCCCTAGCAAGATCACCCAAACTCTGGGACTAGTTGCCTTGAAGCTGCAGACCCAGGGTCAGCTTCTAGAAACCCCCAATCTCCCTCAGGAAATGTGGCCACCTGGAGAGAGACACCAAGTTCAGATGCTGTTGCTGCTGCTTCTTGGCTGTGTTATCCTGAACAAGGGCTTAACCTCTCTGAGTCTGAATATCCCTCTCTGAATACAAAGTGGAGATAATGATATTTAAGGTAACGGAGGCGAGGGCCTGGGGATTAAATCAGATAAAGATTATGAATCACCTTCCCCCATGAGAGGCTCAGTCGATGAAAATCCCTTCCTCTTCTGCCCTTTAAGCTTTTCCCTGGCTTCATCTTCCCAAGACTTCCCCAATCCTTTTCTTGTTTGCCAAATAAAAGGGAGTTTTGTTTTATTTTGTTTTTTTGCCAGGAAGAAACAACTGGAGGTTGAGTGGCCCAGAGCAGCCATTTTTAAATTTGTGGGTGGAAAATTCCTCCTGTTCTTGGGCCTGAAGTCTAAGTCCCCTCTGGACTTTCCTCACACAGTTCCCATTTTGGAGGACACAAATATCCTAGGCCTTCATGTGCAGGAGAGGCAGGGAGGAAGCCAAGAAAAGGGGTAAAAAGAAGAAGAACCATCTCCCCCATTTTCCTCTAAGCTTTAAATTCTTTTCTTTCTCATTCCAACTTAAATACATGCAGGAAGATTATGAGGCAGAGTTCTTTGACCAAGAGGATCATAAAAGGAGGTTTTGTCTAGTGGTTAGTCTGCCCTGAACTCCAGAAGAGAATGCTATGCCTTGCCTGGGTGTTGGAGAGAAAGAGGGAATTAATACTTGCTGAGGCTATGCTGCTATTTCCTAAGCATTGTTTGATTAGAGCCACACAACCACCCTGGAAGGTAGAGATCACTCCCCCATTTCACCAATGGGACACAGTCTCAGGGAAAAGCCACACACCATGGGAAGGGGCAGAGAATTAGTGAGATTTAACTCCCTGTCTTTACGTGGCCAGTGCCCATGGCTGCCACCACCATGAAACCTCTGAGATGACTTGGATGGCCCCAGAGCTTTCATGCATCAGGAGCAGGGGGTACCAGCCACCCCTGCCCCTTCCCTGCTTTGAGCCTCCAATTCCATCTGGCTTGCAAGCTGTGTGTGTTTGATTCTCTTCCTCAGAGCTCCCTCTTCACTAAGACAGCACTTAACATGTTGTATGGTCATTGACTGTTTGCGGGCATCTGTCTCCCACTTGCTTCTGAGTGCTTCAAATCACAGAGTCTCGGATCTGAAAGGATCTGGAGAGTGTGAACTGGTCCGTGTGTTAGCTCTTAGTGAAGCATTTGCATCTCTCACTGTGGAACGAAGTGGGGGAAGAGAAACTCTGGAACTTCTTGTACACCTTTGCCTAGGAGAGCTCCTGGGGTGCTGTAGGCTCTCCATATATGTTAGATAAGAGAATGAGTGAGTGAAAAATGCTTGCTACATAGGGTTGTCATATGGCTTAAAGGGTTGACATCCGTAATGTCCCTAAAGCAATGCTTGGCACACTGGAGGTGTTTAGGACGTGTGGAGCTGGGCGCTGAGTTATACCTAAAAAAGAATACTTACCTAGAGTGAGAAGTTTCATTAACTTGTTATGTGACCTTGAGAAAGTCCTTTCCCCTTTCTCACCCTCTGTTTCCCCATCCGTAAACTGAGGACACTGGGTTAGATGACCAGAAATTTCTCTCTTCATCACTGATTTCTTTAATGCATGCCTCATTGCCTCCCTTCATCCAACCCTCCCCCAACCACATACTCACATGCACGCATGTGCGCGCGCGCACACACACACACACACTCGTCTATTAATCTCCAGTAGCATTCCTCTGCCCCTTGGCACTCTTTCTCTTTCTTTCATTTCCTCGACCAGAGGCCCCATAAGCTTATTAACCTCTGTTGTCCATGTTCAACCAATATCCTTGCTTTAACAAGACAGCAATAATGTCCTTTTGAATTCATTTTTATCAACAAGCAAGATCTGTTTTGTGGGCCAGAGTGTGCTGGTTCTAAATGGAAAGTAGAAGTCATTTCCAGCTCACTTACTCCATAAATGCAGGGGTTCTGCCGACTGCCTCTGCACCAAGATGGAAAGAACATCTATCTTCACAAATGTAGGCGACACCATAGAGGCAGTCGTTCAAGGGACAAGGGAAAAAGCTTTCCATTCCAAAAGGAACAGGAAGGCTGGAAACTAAAAATTCCTCCTAGAACGGGAACAAAATCACACTCCAGGGTCACTTCCAACTTCACAATTCTTGACACTGAGATTCATAGAATTTAAGATTCTAAAGTTGTGAGTGAATGTGTGTAATTGGTTGATCTGAAGCTTCCATGAATCCTAAAATATTCTATGGCTCCACGATCCAGTTTTTCTGTAAGATGAGGGTCCAGGATCTTATGATTCTCTGACTCTATTGACCCAGGGCAAGGGTTTTTCAACCAGTCGATGTGTCAGAAACACCTGCGGAGCTGGGCAAAAGATGCAAATTCCTGGGCTTCCGTGTCAGAGATTTTGGTTTGTGCCATGTGGGATGAAGCACAAGAATCTGCAATTTTTTAACAAGTCCCCCACTCCAGTGGTTCTGAGTAGGAGTGGGCTACTCTTTGACATATAGTGTTGTAGGGAGCCTATAATTCTGTGATTCTAAATGTGATTCTAAAATGGTCTTTTGCATGATTCTAGTATCCTGCAACTCTGTTATTCTATTTCCCTGTGGCTAAGGAGGATTCTAATGTGTAAAAATTGTCTTTCTGAGCATGCATGGGTTTCACTGGTGGAGAGGAAAAGGGACCAAGCGTCCTGAGGGTGGACAGACACTCAGGAGGGGGACCCTCTCGAGAGCATGGAAAGCAAACTTTGATGCTACACTGATTGTGCCTGGGCAAGTCCAGAGCTGGGACTCAGAAATGAGGATGCTTGGCTGGGGTCATTGGCTAGCTCTAGGGAGAGGCCATCAGAGAAGAGTTCTTAATGGACGGGTATATCCAAACACATCTCAAAGAGTTGAAAGGACTGAGGTTGGAGGAGAGGAGACAGAAGTCATAAATGAGAGTTGGAAAAAGAACCAGAGGCAAGAGAGGAAAGATTTACTACCAAAATATTCTTCCTTTGATAGGATGGGGGCAAGGAGACTGCAGACTGATTTGCAGACATGAAAATGCAAGGTTTCAGGAAAGCACAGGATGAGGGGAGCTAACCAAGTGGGGATATACAGGGCTACAGTGTGGGCTGGGAGACGACTGCTTTGACATGCTAATGAGTGCCTGAATCTGGGAGGGTGGGACGGGATGAAGGCTGGCAGAGGACCTCTGAGGAGCTGCTGGGCAGATGCTGGGCTGGGAGAGAGGCTCTGAGTTAGGGGCAGGGCTTTGGGATAGGGAGGGGCTCCCCCAGGGAATTTCCACATGGACTCCATGCACGACCAATGAGTCAGAGTTCATATGTTGAGCCTGGTACCCTCTTTCTGAGAAAAGTGAAGAATGAACCCAGGTATCATGGCTCCTGCCTGCAATCCCAGAGCTTTGGGAGGCTAAGACAGGATTGCTTGAGGCCAGGAGTTCAAGACTAGCCTGGGCAACATAGTGAGAACTTGTCTCCACAGAAAATAAAAAAAATAAAAATCAGCAGGCTTGGTGGTGCACCCCTGTAGTCCCAGCTACTCAAGAGGCTGAGGTGGATCACTTGAGCTCAGGACTTCAGGGCTGCAGTGAGCTATGATTGTACCACTGCACTCCAGCCTGGGCAACAGAGCAAGACCCTGTATCTAAAAAAATAAAATAAGAATGAAAGGTGCTGGGGCTTTTGCAGCTTCCCAGGTGGGATAGAAGCCAGCAAGTTGGATTAATCAGGGTGCCTCTAGTGGGGGCAGAATAGACAAGGAGGGGTCAGTCACTATCTGTGACACATTTTGCCTGCATACCTGCCCAGTGGTAATGACACACTCCTGGCTGCACACACACACCCTTACTGCCCTACACAATAGCAGTGACACATGTTCCAGCCCATTGTGGCACACTCATATCTGCAGCCTTACCACTGATGGTTACACAGGACTACACCATTTCATACTGATGGTAACACCCTATCACCTGGGGCATTACTGGCTGACAGCAACACTCAGACATACACCAATATACAGAAATGGTGACACGTCCCCAGAGCCTTTGTGTCTGGCACAGTCTATGTAAATGGTGCCCTCTGTGGTTGTGCAGTACACAACCTGCACAGCTCTATGTGGTACTCTTGCCTTACAGCCAAATGCCCAGACAATGCCATTGACTTATTCTACTCTAATAACACCCCACGTAGGTCTATACCATCACACACCAACAACACGCTGACATAGGAGTCACATCCCATCAGGAGGGAAACACCACCACACACCGAGAGTCAGAGACGCACGCCTGCCCTGCCACACGCTGATGATGACACACAGCGCCTGTGTCACTGCACATGAGTGCTGCCACTCTCCCACCTGCACAGTCCCACACTGCTGGGCACTCAAATACACCATTGCACACTTATGGGTTTGCCCTCACACCATGCCATTCCATGTTAAAGGAGGTACACTGGGACCCTCACAGTGATGGCACCCGGCCATTGTCAGTGACAAGAGGGAAGGCACTCATCAGATGAGCAAGGTGGCCTAGAGCCCTTCTCTGTGTACCACCCCCGCAGTTCTGTTTCCTCGGGCACACGGCCAACCTCCCAAACCAAGACCAACTCTGCCCCTCCAGGCTTAGGCTAGAATGACAGGATGTGAAGCCAGTGTCTGGAGCATTTGAATGTCTCCCTGCACCCACCAACGTAACTCCCAGCAAGCTCAGGACCAGCCAGCGAGCTCCAGATCAGAGCTGGTGCCTGGCATTTCCTAGACACCCCCTCACCTCCCACATGGCATCCAGGATGCCCTCTGGGCTGAGGCAATTGCAGGGAAGAAATGGGCTG
Organism: Homo sapiens; assembly: GCF_000001405.40. Lineage (NCBI taxonomy): Eukaryota > Metazoa > Chordata > Mammalia > Primates > Hominidae > Homo > Homo sapiens. The sequence goes on from NC_000005.10 coordinate 175,868,258, forward strand.
ACCTTTGGACAGGCACCTTACGCAAGCTCTCTCACTGATCACCACGTTTATGGTCTGTGACAGTTGTCATTCCTCACACATTGTTCCTCGATCCTCACACAAAGTACTAACATTAGCTCTCTTGATTGGCTTCCTACTGAACATTCAAGGCATATACATAACATCTTACAAATCTGTTCAAATCTGAACCCCTCCTCCTGCCCCCAGGGCTCATAAATAAAAGTGGAAATTCAGCTCCAGTCAGGATAAGTCACCTGAAGCAGAGCCACATCTATATTTTACCAGGTGACTCTTAGAAGCTGTCTACAGAGCAGGCTCGGCAAGAACCTGCGGCTGGGCCTGTTTGCACTCCCGCTGGATTAGAGATGCAGGAGATGAAGGAAATGCTGGCAACCCACATGACATGAGGACCCCGATCTGGGTGTGAATTCGTGGCAGGTTTTTTTTTTTTTCTTTTAGTGAGAAACTGGAGAACAGGGAAGACTATAAATGCCAATGTAAAAAAAAATCTGCAGAGCAAAAGTTACATTTCCATAGGCTGTGGGATGTGTCAGGAGAGAAGCAGCCCCACGTGCTGGAAGGACCACAGAACTCAGTGTCAGGCAAGCCTGGTCTGGAACCCTGGCTCTGCCAAAGATTCATTTTATCTCCCTGGGCCTCAACTTTCCCATCTTGAACATAAGTGCTTGTGTAAATTAAATGAGAAAATGTAAATTATATAAAGCACCAAAGTTAACACCTGAGACATAATGAAAGCTCAAATATTCACTATTAGTAGTAGTATTTTAATCATTAGGAAAGACTTATGATATTCAGCAACTTTTTCAATAATAGTAGGGCCTTCGGGAAGCATGTCAAGGCTGGTAACACTGAATAGGGAGCAGGTACTCATCTCTTCGTCACCTTTAATGGCTAAAGTGTCATGATTTACCCCTTATTGTGCAACAAAATGAAGTCACCAAAACTTGGCTGAGCTGCCTTCCTATTCGCCAGTGAGATTTTCTGCAGTGAGACACAGTTCATGTCAGCTTAGGCAGTTTTTTATAGACTCAAAGATGCTTGGGTTCAAAGGGGGCTTTAGCCATCAGCTGGACCAGCCTCCCACACACCTGCCATCTTCCAGAGATAGAGAACCCATAACCCCACACAGGGCAGTCTATCCTATGGCTGGACAGCTCCTATGGAGAGCCAGTTCTTCCTCTCAGAGCTTCTGCCTGCTTCCTTTACCTTTCCCCCATTGCCCTAATTCTATCGCCAGCAATAGAAAAAGCAATAGTACTACTCTTCCGCTACAACAGTTATTCATCCATTCAAGCACTTCCTTAGCATCTACTTTGCCAGGCACGTTACTAAGCGGGGGAATTATAAATTAAGCAGGAATTGCCAGCCCTTAAAGGGTTAATGCCCCCTCCGTGTTCTTTCTTCCAGGTGAAAGATCCTCAAATCCTTCAACCTGCCCTCATTTGACCTGATTTCCAGGTGCCCACCACCAAACTAGCCCCTTCTCGAGCTTGACATACTCACGTTTGTCAAAGTCCATCTTAAAGTGTGGTGTCCATAACTGAGCTCAGTATTTTCCTTAAGCCTCAACTAGATTTGTAGCCCAGCTCAGTTGATGTCCATGTCAAAAGCAATACCAGTTGTGGAAAAACTCCAATTGTAACCAGAGTGCTGCCAGCCAGGTCCCATTTACTGAGAATATTCTTGAAGCACATGAAGAAAGAGGGGACGGGGAGGACTGTGCACTTGAAATGACATGATGTCAGATCTCCCTGCCCAGAATTCCCCTCAGGCATTAGTGGAAAGTCTAAGTCACTCTAATCAAAGAGCCTCCCTGCCACTGCCATCCCCCTCTTAGTATCTGCCCTAGGAAAGGGAAGAAAAATAAAGAATAAGCATTCTATGCTGATGGCCCAACACAGTGCTAAACATGGAACTCAGCCCTAAAGGAGGGGCCTTCCTTACACAAGCCTGTAAGGGGAGAACAGACATAGACTTCAGAAGGTGATTCTCCAGGTGACGAGGATGGGTTCACCAATGGCCTCTGACTGGTGGGGGGGTCTCCTGCTTTAAGGCCTCTGCTGTGATCGTGTGTGAAGGGATAAGTTCTCCCTCACTGGAACAAAATCACATTTCTGCAGCTCTTGTTGCCCCTTCCTTGGAAGGAAGCCATCCCCTTAGAAGGAGAAGCCATCTCCACTCTGACATACCTTGATGGATGTGAAACTCCTGCAGATCTTTCACAGGCCTTGTGCAAGGCCCCTCCTCTCCGAAGCCATTTTCCTACACATCGGGCTGGAGTAATTGGGAGCCGAAAGATGGCAGGCAGAATAAAAAGGCTCATTAGGTGAGAGTAATAAAACAAAACAAAACAAAACAAAAATGAGTGCAAGGGGAAGAGGAAAGGCTGGGGGTGGGAGCAGATGTTGTCCTGCCTCTTGGAAGTCCTTTTACTTTCTTGGGCATAGGAGGAAAAGAAATGGCCTTCTAGAATAAATTTTGCCAGAGGAGTCCTTATTCTTCACAGGATATCAGATCTCAAAGGGATTGGCGAGTGGCTTGCCTAAGGTCCACTGCAGTTTTGCATCAGTCTTCTCTTTCTGGGTGCGCAGTGGAGGTTCCTGACCCACTGCGAGGGTCTTGCCCACACGCTCCATCAGTGTTTCCTGAGTGCTCCTGTGGCTGGACACTGTGCTGGGGGGCTGCAAAGATGACCTGGCCAAGGTCCAGTCCTGGAGCTGCTCACAGGCAAGAGGCAAACCAACAGGTGGAACGGGGGTCGCTGAGGCAAGGGCTTGTCTGGGAGTGGCAGGAGCCGCAAGAAGTGCAACCACTCTGCCTGGAGAAACCAAGGAGGGCTTTCCCAAGGAGGTGAACTTTGAGCTTTGCTTTAAAGAACCCTTCCTCCACCCCTTGCCCCCACCACTCCTCAGGAGCAGCAAGCTTGTGGGCCTGGAGCTGTGGCCAGGATGTCTGGTTGCAGGGAGGCGGCAGGGGCGTCTGCGAGGGGGAGGAGAACAGTGTAAGGTGGAGGAGAGAGGGGAGGGGAGCGAGAAAAGAGGGGGAGGAATGGAGGGAGAAGGAGACGGGAGGGAGGGAGAGAGGGAGAGAAGGAGGGGACGAGGGGGGAGGGAGGGAGAGAAAGAGAGAGAGGAGAGAGAGAGAGAGAGAGAGACAGAGAGAGAGAGAGAGAGAGAGAGAGAGAGAGAGAGAGAGAGAGAGAGAGAGATTTGAATTTCCCATCTGGAAGGGGAGCGGTAGAACGTCAGGGCCCGGCTGAGGGGCGTGATTGGAGGGCGCCTTCGGCAGCCGCCCGCGGCAGAAGCCGCGGCTCCAGCTCGCCTGGCGGAATTGCACGCGGCGGCGGGAGCTGGAATAGCAGAAGGAACCACCTCGTGGAGTCGGGCCGGAGCCCTGCAGTGGCTCAGACGGTTGCAGGGACCGCCAGGTCGGTGCTGGCCGAGGGCCGGGAGGGCGGAGCTGGGCTGTGGGCAACAGGGTCCCGGCTCTCGCCTCGAGGCCTTGGGGCAGCTCGGGAAGCTGGGGAGCACGGCTTTCGGGGGGACAGCTCCCCAAGGCTGCCTGGGCACCGGATGGGGACTGAGAGGCGGTAAAGGGGACACTCCCGGGTGCGCTCTCCGTGGTGCTGAAAGGACAGCTCCTTGCGAGGGGCCGCGAGCAGGCAGCTAGCTGCGAACTAAGAGGAAGCGTGGGCCCTAGCCGGAGACTCCGGGCAGAGCCCGAACGGCCGGGGTCCCGGAGCCAGGACCGCCCCGGCTGCGGCGGAGACTCAAGTCTGAACCCAGAGAACAACTTTGAGCTCGCGGGAGTGGGGGACGTCGATCTAAGCTACTTCTGGCTGTGCTTAACCCGAAGCCCGCCGGAGCACGCTTCGCCCCGGAGGAGGGAGTCGCCCCCAGGGGTACAGTGCGCACTCCCGGAGTGAGTCAGAGGGCGGCGGCAGGGGGGCGGACAGACCGCAGGTGGAGGGGAGGAGAACGTAGACATTGACAGGGGATGGGGGACCAAGGGGACTATTTGTCCCTTTCCGGGAGGAGCCGCCGCTTGGACAGCGCACGCCCGCCGCCTGGAGTCTTCGGGAACGACCCCTTCTGTGCTCTCGTTCTCGTCGGCCTCAATCTGCCCCCTTCCCCAGCAAAGTTTGAAACCGGGCCGGGTCTTGGGGTTGGAGCTATGTGTGTTGGGGGAAGGGGCGCTCTCCGTGGCCCACCGGGAGATCCAGGACAGAGCTGCTGGGGGTGTGGGTCTCCGCGGGGGTCCGGGAGAGGGGCGCCGGGGTTCCTGTCCTCTCTTCTGGCCGGGAAACGGGAACCCCCGGCCACTTCCGCTTTTCAGCCGGAGTCGGCTCCCTACCTCCTCCCATCCTCCGCTGCCCCTCCCCTCCCCCATGCGTCTCCCATCCCGGGCCACGGGGTGGGGACGGGGCGGGGGGAGGGGGTGGAGTGACATCCCCTGTCTCTGCCACTGCCTTTGGCGTAGTCCCCTGCCAGAAGCAAATGAGTGTTGAATTGAGTTGCGGTGAATATAGCCCAGACTTGAATCATAAAAACAGAAAAACGGCCATAAGGACAACCACTGCAGGTTACCCGAGTCAGCCTGTCAGATGGCGGGGCCCAGTCCCGAAAACCTCTAGGGGCTCAGATGGTCGAGCCTGAGTCGGTGCTTGGGCTGGGACGGGCTCGGAGGGAGTCGGAGAGGGGAAGGAAGCTGAAGGCGCGCCCTGGGTCCCCGGCGCACTGAAGGTACGGAAACCTGGTGCTACGACGGCATCCCTCGCCGCCCCCGGCCTCCCCTCCCCCAGCGCAGCATCCCCCACCCACCCCCACTCCCACCCACCCCCACCCTCACCCCCCTTCCCGCGCAGGGATAGACCAAGGCTTCCCGCAGAATCGCTAAGGAGCGCCTCCTGGCGGCCTGGCCCAAATCCTCAACTGCCGGCAACCTGCTGGACCTCAGCACTCCCGCAGGCATATGGCAAAACATACACACACACACACCCTGCACACACGCACGCACTCACACGATGTCTAAGTCCAGAGTTGCACACACGGGGTCATACTTTCAACGCACACACCCTCATGCACTCGTTGACACGTTAAATTCAACCCGGCACACACGTCCTCAGGATCTACCATGTACCAGGACATGTAGCCAATTCTGGGGACAGGAGAAATGAAACAAGATACTGGTCCTGTCCTGAGAGGAGCTCAGAGTAACCAGGAAGGGCAAGACAAAGAAAGACAAACAGACAAAGAGAGCATGTACTGGAGGCAGGCAATACTGCCCCCAGAAAGTGCCACAGGTCTCCAAAGGGGAAGATGCCCTCACATCTTGCCAAGGAGATCCGTGAAATTGCATGGAGGGAGTGCTGTTTGAGAGAGATCTTCAGAAATCAATGCTGCTGATGATGATAATGATGACTGCGATGATGTTAGATAATATGTACCTACTTTGTGCCAACACTGGGCTGAGCACTTTATTTGCATCACCTCATTCAATGCTCACTACAAGCCTTGGGAATAGGTGTTGTTGTCTCCATTTCATAGATGAGAAAACATTGAGTCATTTGCTCAAGGTTACTTAGTAAGTGATGGAGCCAGGATTTGAACTGGCAGAGATGAGGGTAAGAGGTTCCAAGGCTGTGGGAATAGCATGCACAAATGCCCAGGCATTCTCAGAAAGATTATCTGTTGGGAAATAATACGTGCTAAGCAGAGCCCTGTGCAAGAGGTGGCACACGAGCAGCAAGGAAGACGGGTGCTAGACTGTGCAGGCCTTGAAGGTCAGCACAAGGACTCGTATCAGTTTAACAAGGCCATGGGGAGCCATTGCAGGGTGTGTATGCATGAGAAAATCTGCCCTTTAGGAAGATTAATTGGATGGCCACGTGGAGGCTGGATGAGAGCTGAGGGAGAGACAGTTAGAGGTTATGGATAAATCCAGAATCTCTAGGTCCTGAACCAAGGCATTAGCAGCAGTCACAGAGTGGAGGGTGGGGATGTAGGCAGCATTGCAAAGCTACAGCGTCTGGACTTCTCCCTGGAATTCTCCCTCGGCACCCCCATCCCAATCTTAACTCACCAATTCCTTGCATGATCTGTTATCCAGCTTCTACCTCCCCAGCCCAACTGAATGCTGTGAGACCACTGCTGGGACTCCCTTGTTCCCTGCCACAGCCCCAGCACCCAGAACAGTGTCTGGCAGAAAGTAGGTACTCAAGGAATATTTGTAGTATGAGCAACTGAGTGAATGAATGAATGAATAATGAGGAATTTGCTGTCTCTAGAGTTTTCAGTTGAGGTGATTGGGACAAGGCATACTAGAGAAAAAGATGGGTGTGTGGGGAAAGCCAGGATGAGACTGATCTTTGGACAGACAGAATTTGAGATTATCCATGTGACAACATCCAGCAGAGAGTTAAATGTGCAGGTGTAGGGGAGGGGAGGCAGAGAGAGGGAGGTATCTGTGGCTAAAGAAGTGCACTAAACCAATAGGGGTGGACGAGATTCCCAAGGGAGACAGAGGGGCAGGAGAGGCAGGAGGGGAGAGTTTGTTTGGAGACCATCTTCACTTTAAAGGAAAGGAAAGGAGTCAGCAAAGAAGAGAGAGAAGACCTATCTGAGAAGTAGGATGAAGACCACAAGAGTGCTGTGTCATGGAATTCAGGAGGAGATTCCAGAAAGCTGGAAAAGGTGGGGGGAGGGAGTCAGCAGCAGCATGTGATTCAGCAGAGGGATGGAGGAGGATGACGGCCGTGAAGACCCTCTTGAATCTGGCAATGGGAAAGCCTCTGGCGACTGATTACCGCAGTTTCAGGGCTCCTGCAGAGGCAGCAGAGCTCTGGTCTCACAGAGAGGTAGGGCTTGACTGGGAGGTGAAGATGTGGAGATACCATGTGGAGATCACTTCATCACAAAGTGAGAGGGGTGGGATTAAGGGAAACGCAGAATTTAGGGAAGGAGTTAGAGAAGGGAGGGAATAAAAGCAACATATGGAGAGGGATGGAAGATGTGAGGAAGAGGGAGTGGTGAGGTACAAAGAGAGGGAATCCAGGGCACAGGTAGATGAATTGGCTTCAGCCAGGAGAGGGCTTCTTCCTCAGGAGCTAGAAGGAGGGGAGGTTACAGGAGCTCCCACTCACTGACATTAATTGTTTTGATTATTACAACCATTTACTGAGCACCCAGCATGTGCAAACACATCCCATAGAGTATTTCTAAAATTTCAAAGTGCCATTATAATTCTCATTTTATAGAGAAGATCAAGTATCAATGAGGTTAGGTCAATTACTCACTATTGCACAGCTTAAAAAGTGGCAGATTCAAGATCTGAGTCAGGCATGCCTAACCTCAGAGCTCAGACCCCTTATACTTTCGCCCGTGAAGTGGAGGGAAAGTCACCTGCTGAGAAGGAAGAGGCAGTAGCATTTTGGGCCTTAAGAAAAGGAGAATTGGTTGGGAGAGTGTAGACAGAGTGAACAGGAGACTGCTTAACAGCTCAGAGGTCCATGCTGGGATCAGGCAGCAGGATTTTTGGGCAGACTCGGGAATTTCAGATAAAGAATCCCAGCAGGCTGAAGAAGAGCTACTTAGAGCCACAGGGATGTAAGCATTGAGAAGACTCAGTGGTGAGTAGAGGTACTTTGCAAACTGGTGGAGGGGTGGCAGTGGTAAACAATGTCTGATGAATGCATGCTGGCAAGCAGAGGTGGCCGGAGAAGGTGATAGTTTGGTGATACAGAAATGGCATGTTAAGTTTGAGGGGTGCCCACAGACATCCAGGAAAGGGTATCCAGGAGAAGGTAAATGTGTTTTTTTACTTATTTATTGCTTATTTTCCTACGCATGTGTGCATATACCCCCACACTCACATACACACATACATACCTCAGAATGTAATCTGCATGAAGGCAAGGCTTTGTCTGTCCTGTTTCCTATAAATCCCCAGTGCCTAACACATTGACTGGCATATAGTAGGTGCTCAATTAATACTTGCTGGATGAGTGAATATAGAGGTCTAGGTGTCATCAGTGTCAGTGGTCATTAAAACCCCTAGAATGGATGAGTTCTCCCAGGGAAAGATTAGAAAGTAAAAAGAGGCAGGGGCTGAGGTCAGAGTTATGGGGAAGAGACAGGAGGAAGAAGAGGAGTCAGAAAAGGCAAAGGAAGAGAAGAAAAGAGGAGAGGAGAGGAAACAGTAAGGGGAAGCAGGGATAGGAAAGAACTGAGTCACAGAACCAAGAGAGAAGGAGGTTTGAGGGTACAGTGGGGTTGTCAGCAGTTCAAATGCTGCAGACTGCTTCAACAGAGGCATGGGAGAAAGGGCCTGGAAGATCATCTGATCCAGGAGAGAGACGTGTCAGAATCACCCAGCAAGTTAGGGATGAGGCTGCAACTAAAGCCCGGGTGCCCTGCCTACCAATTTGGAACATCTCAAATTAGAGCCCTGCATCTCCCACTGCCACCTGGTAATTCCTTGAGCTCTATGTAAACACAGAGTAGGAACCCAAGAGTTTCTGAAATCACTTGATTATTAAATTGTTCATTTCCTGTTCTTAGAAATGAAGTTTTTTCACAATGTATTAAATCGAACGAAAACATCTTGACTGAGCTGAGCAACCTGCAAACTCAGAATTCGGGGTTAGGAGGGTGGGTTCTCTTGCATTTCTGAGAAAGCATGGAAAGCCTGTTCCTTTTTGGCTTGTTCCACAAATATGTAGTCGGCAACGGCTGACATTTTATGAGTTCCTGCAACACCCCAGGCACTTGACCGGTATCATTCATTCTCCTTCAAACGTCCATTCAAGGGCAACCTTAATACTCCCCCATTTTGCAGGGAGCAAACTGAAGCTTGCCCAGGGACCCCCAGCCAGTAAGTATAGCTGCCTGGATTTTGAACCAGGTGTGTCTGATGCCAAAGCCCCTGGGCTGTTTTGTGTTTTGCTTTTTTTTTTTTTTTTTCCTACACATCATGACTTTCTCTTCCCAAAACAACCTATCAGATGAGATGGTCTGATCACGTAGATAAGCTCTTGGGCCCCATATCATGAAATAATCTCAGTCTACCGATATGACTTCTCATCTTGAGAGAAATGAAGAAAATCTATCAAAGAACAACCAGTGACCCTGAACTCAGCCAGGCTGCAATATCCAGCCTTGAACCCAACAAGGTTGCAACATCTGCCACCCTTTCCCAGGAACCCTTTTTCTTCCTTGCAAGGCTGTGTGGGACAAAAGGCCTTGGGGAGCAGGCCTGGCCTCAGCTTACCATGAAGCTACTTCACACTTTGGATAGCTCACGGATGTCCCCTCTACACTTGAAAAGAGATCTGTGTCTGTTAAAGAACAGTGGAACTGAATGGTTAAAATACAAAGAAAATCTCAAGTTAGAGCACTAGGGTTCAGCTTCTCAGGGATGTAGGGGGAAGATGGTAAGGAGGCCAAGGGGGAAGGCTCTTCCTCCCCCACCACCTCCACTGGAAGAGTTCCACTTTTACATATTTTGCATATTGAGAATCCCATTAAGATTTTATTTGGAGAACCCTTCTGAGGCAAAAACATAATAAAAAATATAATAAAAACTGAAAGCCGGTGATTTAGGAAGAGGAGTAGGGTGCTAATGTCTGCCGAGTGCCTGCAAGGCCCGTGCTAGGTAGTTTAAAAGCCCTAAGCCCCCAGAAGATTATAATGTCTCCAACACTCCCACGTGAAATTCAAAATAAAAATCGATATTAAGCTATAAAACATAAAAATTACACGTACATTACAATAAAAATAACGTATTTTCCATTTGTCTAATTTCAAAAGTCAGGATCTGTTTATCCAAGCTGGCTGTTCTCATTTGCTCAGCTGCCTCCGATTGGCTGGGGCAGTAACACCGGCTGGTCTTTTGATGGGCTGATCCAGTGGCCCAGGCTGGGCCCCCTCCAATCTCCGCCGGAGCCGGGGAAAGGTGGCATTGCCATTTCTCTCTTAGAGAGGAGGAAACTGGGGACTCGAGCAGGTTAGGGCCTTGCTGAAGGTCCCATGGCAAATAAGGAAATGACGGTGGCGTTGGAAACCAGATCTGCCTGACTCCAAGTTCCAGGCTCTTTCCAATGCTCCTGGCTTCAATCAAATCTGAACAATAGGGTCAAGATGAAGGCTTTAAAATAGGGACCAAACCGCTTTCAAAAAGCTATTTGGCAGCACCTACGTGTCTGCCCAGTAAATCGCTCTCTTCCATCTCCTTTCTCCTCCAGCAGGGCATTGGGTCTTGACCTCAGAGCGATGGGTGCCTGGTGTCTGAACCAGGGTGAGGCTGCTGTCTGCCTAGCTCCCCCGCCCTGCCTGTGCAGAGGCCTCTCCCATCTGACTCCCAATTCTCTTCTGCAGGTTGTCACATCTTCCCAAGCCAGGCCAGCCAGGAGCGCTGCATGCAAATTCTGCCGTGGGCTAAGGCACGCTAACCAGAGCCGGCGGCATGGACTTCGTCATGAAGCAGGCCCTTGGAGGTGAGGTCCAGCGCCCCTCCGCGTGTCCTCAGCCGGTCCCACCCTTGTGGGAGGTGGCCTCGGCCCACCCGGCCCCTCTCTCCCCAGCCCTGACCCCTAGCTGACCCCGCCCTCTCCTTCCCACCCCTTCCTCGTAGGGGCCACAAAGGACATGGGGAAGATGCTGGGGGGAGAGGAGGAGAAGGACCCCGACGCGCAGAAAAAGGAGGAGGAGCGGCAGGAGGCGCTGCGGCAGCAGGAGGAGGAGCGTAAGGCCAAGCACGCGCGCATGGAGGCGGAGCGGGAGAAGGTCCGGCAGCAGATCCGAGATAAGGTCAGCTCCGCCCGCCCGCCCGTCCTGGGGAGGGCCACAAGCGGGTAAAACCGGTCCAGCTAAAGCCCCTGCTGGGGCTCCCCTGGATCCCAGCTCTCACCTTCGCCCTAGTTCTGAGCCTCACTCTTCTCATCAGCAAAACGGGTATCACAAGGTCACCTCCCTCAAGGGATCCTTTTGGGGATTAAATAAGAGAATGCGCGTAGTAGGTACTCCAAGAGGGTGGACCCTACGGTCCACCATTTCGTACTGCAGATCTTTGGGACCAAAAATGAGTGCAGTTCTGAATTTGGGAATGTTCGAAAAATACCACAGTGTCCTAAGCACTTTGTGCTGTCAGCTGTCACTCCCAGCGGGTCTGGGGCTGCCACCCTACTCCAGACAGTCCAGTGCATGTCTGTTAGTGCGTGCAATAAATAAAGGCTAGAAGTAGTCTTCCATTGGTTCAAGTCAGATTCGTCACCAAAATTTGGCTCAAAATATATGGGCAAACGCCATGTGTTCAGATCTTTGGGGGTTTCAACACAGCAGGAAGTTCTGATGGGCAGGTGTTAATTTTAAAGGAAACCCCACGTATGGTCTCTCCCACTGAGGACCAGGCACCATCCTACAGGGAAGACACCCTTATCCCCACTTTACTAATGACAGGACTGAGGCTTGGGAGGCACTCCTGGCCACCTCAGCCAGTGCTGCATGATCATGAGACTCCTGCTGTCTCCTTGCCCACCCCGCTTCATGCGCGTCTCTGCCCTCCCCCTCCCCAGTATGGGCTGAAGAAGAAGGAGGAGAAGGAAGCAGAGGAGAAAGCAGCCCTGGAGCAGCCCTGCGAGGGGAGCCTGACCCGGCCCAAGAAGGCCATCCCTGCGGGCTGCGGGGACGAGGAGGAGGAGGAAGAGGAGAGCATCCTGGACACGGTGCTCAAATACCTGCCCGGGCCGCTGCAGGACATGTTCAAGAAGTAACCAGGCCTCCTGCCCCAGCCTACTCCACCTGTTACTACTTCTTTTTGGTTCTTTCTTTTCTTTTTATTAGGTTAAGTCTCAATTCTGAAGGGGAAAACCTCAGTTGGCCTCTGCCCCTCTTCCCTGGCCAGGGGCTTCTCCCCCTCAGCTCTCCCTCACACCTCCCTTCATCCCAGGGTATCCACCTGCACCCCACTCCCAAGTAGCTTGAAAAAGGGAGGACAGTCTTTCCCCAGCAGGGGTCAGGGGGGCCCCTCAGGAAGCCTAAGGTCGTGCTAGTGTGGTGACCCCCATACATTCCTCCCTGCTCCCCACTGCCAGGAGGACCACTGTCCCCAGCCAGCCAAAGTAATGACACATTCCAGCCCTGCCCAGCATGCTGACCTTTGGCCTCTAACCCTCAGTGGGCCCCCAGGTCAGGGCAGGGGCACTGAGTGGCCTGGCTCTGAGGAAGGGAGTCAGGGGAAGCCTGTCCCGGGAAGGCCCAGGCTGAGAGGCCCTGGCTCTGGCCAGGCTGGGATCTGGGTGGGAGGCTGGGGCTCTTCTTCTTCCATCTCCTTGGTGACACCCAGCCCAGGGGCACCCCCTTCCCCAGCCCCCACCTGGAGAGACATGGCCCCTGCCAAGCTGGTCCCTTCAAATGGATCCTTTGTGGACTTTAGCTCATTTGTGGAGGAACCCCAGGTAGGGACGCCCCTTGTTCCTCACCCCCACCCCACTTAGGTCCTGGGCCCCCACTGCCAGGCTGGGCCCAGCTTGCTCAGTCAAGGGGCTGCCAGGCCCCCAGAAAACACTTGGAGCCATCGGGTAGCGATGGTCTATGCCATGGGGAACACCTCCATTGGTGTGGCCAAGCTGCCCCCATTCCTATCCACCCCTCTCCCCACCCCGTCCTGTCCATGCGCTTCCAGGGCCCCACGGTCCCCAGGAGGACGCTTCCTGGCCAAAGCCCCAAGCCTTTGGTGAGAAGCCAATTCCCACTTGACAGAAGGCGTCCATCCATTCATCTCATTGGCCAAGGACAAACTCTCCTCTGGGACGTCTGGGACTGGCATTTGTCCCCCACTCAAATTATCAAAGCTTTCTGCTCAGTCAGTTGTGTGGGGATGGTGAGGGAAGAGGGGTCACATGAGGGAGGAAACTGTATCCATGCATGCATGATAATGCGTGGCAGAGACTGCAACAGGGATTGTGTGTTCAGAGATCATATGCATATGTGTAGGGCTGGAGCGTGTGTGTGTCTTGAGATTGTGTGTGTTGCAGTCATCATATCTATGTGTTACAGATTGTGTATGTTAGCCTTGTGTATGTGTGCTTGATTGAGGTGGTGTATTTGGGTTGAAATTGTGTCATATGTGTGTGCTATCCATCTCGTGTTTAGAGGCTGTATATGTTAGCTTGTGTAAGAATGTGTTTTCAAAACAGTGTGTGTATTGGGAGTGATGGGTATGTGTTAGGTATGTGATGGGTTGTAGAAGCGTGTGTTTGAGAGAATTCAGAGACATTTGAAGGCTGCTGTGTGCATGTTTGGGGGTCTGAAAAGACAGTTGTGTGCATGGATGTGTGCGTGGGGAGAAAGAACGTGGGTAAGATGTCCCTTCCCAGCCCTGAGACCACTGGTCACAGTTGGCCACCTCCAACGGGAGACCTTGTCCTTGGCCTAGAGTCCTCCCACCCTTGGGGGGCTCCTGCCTGAGGTCCTCAGAATCCCACTGCAATGGACCCAGGCAGCGCCCCAGGAAGCCATGCTGGGCCCCCGCCAGGGCCTATCCCAAAAGCAGGGGCCAGGGAGGGGGCGACTTGCCTGCCCCTGAAGCCCTTGTTCCCATTGGCCCCAGTTTGCATTCTGCAGGTTTTCCATTTTAGTGGGTTCTGCTTTTATTTCAGAGACAGACATGTGTCTTCTCTGTCCGTTTCCAATAGGTAAAGCCATATCAGTTAGACTGCAATACTTTAAACACGAGACAAAACAATCCATATGTTTAGGGAACCAGAAAAGTCCCCTGGTCTGTCCCTTCTTTGGGGAGCAGGGCCTCGACAGCTCCAGCTCCCTTGACCTACCTTCCTCCCCGCACCCCGCCCCCACCTTGTGCCCCTGTGTCCAGCCCCCCAGGGGGCCTGTGTCTGTGTCTGTGCCTGTGTCTGTGATGGGGAGCCGCCTCGCACCCCTGTTGTCTGCTTGTCTCTTTGTGTCTGTTATCCTGGGCAGGATGGTCATTCTCAAAAACCCTGGGGTCCTGGGCCAGAGACAGGCAGGGCCCAGTCCAGGGGCCCCAGGCCTCCCCAGTCCCAGTGTGCGAGCCCCACTTGGACACAAGTGTTCAGAGAGGTCCCCCTCTGCCACTTGACAGGGACCTTCAAACCTCGACAGTGATGCAAGGACACAGAGAGTACCAGATAGGTAGCAGAGACCAAGGCGCAGGGTGCTTCAGATGAGCAAGAGAACCCAGTCGAACCAGATACCCCAGGTGGGCCGGAGGGACCCCAGACCTTCAGAGGGCTGCCCTGGTGTTCTCCACAGTGCAGTCCCTCTGTATTCCCAGAGTGGGATCGGGGCTTTCAGCCCCACCCTGATGCCTGCCCTCCAGGATGGCTGGTTTAGTCTGGGTCCATGTCCCAGACCCCTCTATTCTGCTCCAGGACAGCAGGACTTCAGGTCTTCCTGGGGGTGGATATAGGAGAAAATTTCTGCCTGGCACACACCTGGCTCCAACCACTGCCAAGTGATCACTCTTAGGCCCAGGGGAACACAATGACTATCATTACTGATGCAGACCTGGCTGTGGAGAGCAGCTAATGTGTGGCCCAGAGAGCCTGTCTGTGTGGAGCACGTAGTGCACAGAATACGTGAGAGTTGCTCTGGCAGGGGCAGAATCCTCACAGGATCGCCTGGGAGGTGAGGTGTGTGTGACCCACTGGATGGGAGGGCAATGAGTGTGCACATACAAATGGGGCAGTGTGCATGCAACACACTTAGGGGAGGAGTGGCCCCAGAATTCAGCACGCACACAACACACAAGGGAGAGAACCCCCAGATGAGAAAATAGGAAGGAGCAATCATTTGTAGATGGGTGAAAAAAGAATGAGGTTCAAGGGAGCGTGCACCAGGTGAGGTGAGCGTGTGTGCTCTCAGGGAAGGGCCCAGGATCCCATGCCTGGGAGGAGCTGCCAGAGAGAAGCAAAAAGGCGGCTGTGGATCGCCCTGGGCTGGGCACCAGTGACAGGTCAGGATCTCCAAACATGGACGTCCTCCCCTCCAAATCCAGAAGCTCCCAGAAGGTGTCCTTAACTGCAAAGCTGTGCAGGGTACTCCTCCAGATGGAATCAGGAAGTCGAGACACCATCCCAGGTGTGTGTAAGAGAGAGAGAGAGAACAGGGAGGATACAGAAGTATTGCAGCCCAGATCCCCTATCAGGGGGACAGCTGGTGGGCAAAGCAGCCACCCCACAGCCTTGTGGCTAGAGTACAGTGGGGTAGACCCTCCAGCCCCAATAGCCCTAGTACCCAGCTGGCAGGGTTGCCCACCCCTGCTGTCCACCTGCTCCATCCTCTAGGGTTCCACAGGCCCCTGACCGCACAGGGAGGCTGGGGCCAGCCTGGTCTCCCAGGCCTGAGGACATGCCTCCCACCAAATGTCCCCTGCTCCAGTCCCACTCCTGTCACCCCACGCTCTGCACTGGGGAGAAAACGGGAGGTGCTCGTGCTGGCCCTGGGTGGGAGCGGGGAGTCCTGGTGAGACCCCGGTGAGATGGACCATCCTGCCCCCGTGGGGGATCCCCTTTCCCACATCCGTGCTGTGTCATTGTTGCTCTGCTTCCTTTCAATGTGTCAGTGCCTGGGGGGAGGGGAGGAGCACCCCCTCAGCCCCCCTGAACCTGACCAAAAGCCATGGCTGTTGCTCCCCCCTTTGTATGATGCAAATGCTGAAATGTACAAAATCAACCATGACAACAAAGAAAAAGACCTTGTACAGCAGCTCTCTGTCTGTGCTCTTCTGTCCATCGGCACCACCAGAGACAAACAGGGGCACCAACTCACCAGGGAGGAGGCAACCCACAAAGCTCGAGGCCCCAGAAAATCTTCAATTTTACCCTGGCTTCTGGCCAGGACACCATGGAGATGACTCCAGAAATCAACCGCAGCCAGAGTTGGGACTGGGCTTGGGGTTCCAGGATCACTCTGCTTCCCTGCCTTCCAGAATCAATTCTTCAGCCCCAGGGGCTGAGTGTTCCCCATGGACCACCCCCCCACCCCCCGCACACACACACCATCTCTGACACCCCTTCCCCCGAGCCCCTCTGGGTGCCGCTTCCTGAGAATGCTGTCAAGTCGCACGGTGGGCAGCAACCTGTCCTCATTCATTCCCCAGACACTGAGGGAGACCTACTCCCCACGGGCCACGTGCAGAAGCCTGGGGTCCCAAAGAAAGGACACCACTCAGCATTCCTCCCAGACACAGGCACTTCCCAGGCCTTGGTGAGGAGTCAGAACTGTTCCGGAACCCCCTCCACCCTTACCCTCACCCTAATACCCTGCCTTAGTTAGGTCCCAATCCTCTCAGCTTGGCTGGGCCCTTCCCATGGCCACGCAATGGTCTCCCAGCCCCCACCCCTCTCCTTCCATGCACCCTCTTCTGCCACCCTGCGCCTGCCTCCAAGGCGCATCCAAAATGCAGACTTCACCATGTCACTCCCTGCCCAGAGCCCTCTAAAGGCCTACAGGAAGGCGCCTGCCTATAGGATAACATCCAGATTGTCCAAATGGCCCTGTGTGATGTGGCCTCAACCTACTGATCAGACCCACACCCACCTCTGTGCTCCAAGTGCCCCAGTCCCCATCTATACCATCTTCTTGGTGTTTGCATATTCTGTCCCCGGTGCCTGAGATGAATGGTGCCCTTACTCTCCTTGGTGCTCTAAGGAGCTTGGAGCTCCCTCAAGCTCCAGCTCAAACATCACTTCCTCTGCGCAGCCCACTCTGATCCAGCCCGTCTCCCTGACCAGAGCAGAGGCTGTTGTGCTCACAGCCACAGAGCATCATGTCTGAGTGTTCAGACAGCGCTGGATGTGCTTACGGCTCTGTCACCCAGCAGAGTGATCTTGAGTAAGCCACTTAACCCCTCTGAGTGTTTGCTCGCAAGTGAAATGGGATGATAAGCATTGCTCCGATCTCCACGCTTGTTGTGAAGAGTAAATGGGGTCCTGCACATGCTTTGAGCACCACACGCCAAGCATTCAGTGAATGGAGCTTTGCAATTTCTGTTGAAAGAGATGTCGCTGCACCTGTATCCCTCACTAACTTGGGAGCTTTATGAGGGCAGGGCTGGCCTGTGCTCTGATCCCTCTGCAACACCCAGCATAGGGTCTGGCCCACAGTGTGTTGCCAGGGACCCCAATGCTGATTCAGGGCCCAAGATATCAATCTTTGCACCATCTACTTGGTAGCCACAGTCACTCTTCTTTTGGCTCTTTGTACTTACTAGGCAATGAGGGGAGGGGTGCAGACCCTGATCCCCCACCTTCTATGTCCTGACATCACCCTCCTGCCTGTTCTCCCAGATCCGCCCATACCCCTGGGTTAGTGCACTGTAGGTAGCAGGGCCCCTGGACTCTCTGAGTCAGATGGAGCTCAGTGTGCAATGGGAGGCCGTGCTAGTGATCGATGGCTACATAACAAATTATTACAAACTCAGCAGCTTAAAACAACACATGTGTATTATCTCCATTTCTGTGGGTCAGGAGTCCCAGCACAGCTTACCAGGGTCCTTCTGCTTCAGGACCTCTCACAGGGCTGCAGTCAAGGTGCAGGCCAGGGTTGGGGTCTCATCAGAAGGCTCAGCTAGGCATGACTCACTTCCAAGCTCACATGATTACTGGCAGGCTTCAGTTCCTGTTGGATTGCGGGCTTCAGTTCTTGGCTGACTGTTGGCTGGAGGCCATCCCCTAGCCCTTGCCAGGTGGGCCTCTCCCACTGGGGCAGCTCACCACAGGGCAGCTTGCTTCACCAAAGCGTGCAAGCCACAAAGGCAACAGAGAGAGTCTGCTAGCAAGATGTAAGCCACGTTGTTATATAAACTAATCATGGAGGTGACTCCCCCGTCACCCTTGCCATCTTCTATTGGCTAGAGGTAAGTCACAGGACTCACCCACACTCTTGGGCAGGGGACTGCACAGGGTGTGAATACCAGGACAGGGGATTATTGGGGGCATCTTAGAGGCTGCCCACCATAGAGACTGAGGCAACTCCCCCTTTCCTACAAAGCACTGGAGTAGAGCAGGGCCTTGGAGAAGCCAGAGCTCCAAACCTCTTCAGCCACAGGGTCCCAGGCGGTGGAGGAAATGTCTCAGAGCTGGAGCAGCAGCCAATGGCAGGCTCTCCTGGAGCCTCTACAAGACTACGGTCATTCCCAGAGCCCCCAGGCTGGGCTCTGAGGGCCTTCTAAGGGTGGGGACTGGAGAGAAAGAGAACAAAAGGGCTTGTGGCTTCCCTGAGAGTCCATCTGTGTGCTCTGCCCAGCACCCCAGGCACTGTCCTCCTAAGACTCAGGGCGCACCTCCAGAAACAACCCAGCCTGGGACACTCAGATAGCTGCCCTCAGCTTCCATCTCCTCTCCACTCCACTCAGTGGATCGCAAGGTCAGTAAATGCCAGCATCCTCTCATTTTCAGTCCTGAATGTCTTCTCCTAAGAGTCTTAATCCTCTCCGGTAAAATGAGTATTCACTGGGCTTCCACCATGTGCTAGACACCAAGAATACCAATCATACAGCCCTCCCTCCAGGAACCTACGTGCTGAAGGAGGAGATAATGGAGAAACAGAACAGCTGCCCACCACAGCATGAGCAGTGCCACCGGTGAACTTGGGATCGTGCTGCAGGCTCCCTGGAGGGGTTTACATCTGAGATGAGTCTTCAATGAGAAGGAATCAGCCTGGTGGAGAAGGAGGGCACATCCAGGAGAGGGACTGGCATGAACAAAGGCATGGAGCAGACAAAAGTAGTTTAACCTGGGCAATGGGAGTGGGGGATGGAGAAACAGAGGGTATCTGCGTGAATTCATTGAGCTCTCCGTGAAAGGCTGAGAGGTCGGGGACTTCAACCTGGGTGCCAGGACGTGGAGCTTGGACTCTACCTGCAGGCAATGGGAAGTCACTGAAGGGTATTGAGCAGAGATATGCCATGATCAGATGTGCAGATTGAGGAAGATCAGCTGGGGCTGTGAGGAAGGTGAACCCCAAAATGTAGCCATGTCTTGACTATTGACTTCACTACAGGATCAAAGCACAGGAAATCAAGAAACCTGGGATGGGAAGGGGATGTAAAGTCAAATCCATCCTCCCATGCAATTCAGGAAAACCTCCTGTGTCATCTTAGGTAGAGGGCGCACTCCTGCTTACATTCTCCACAGTGTTGGGAAGCTCATTCTAGGCAGACAGCTCCCCTCTTTCTCCTAAACCAAAAGCTGCCAGGAAGCAGGGGGTTAATGAAGCCTCCTCCAGCATCTCTTTAATTGACTGCAAAATCCTGCTTCCAGACCACTCACTTAGCACTTGTAATTAATTGGGGCTTCTTGCCTGATCTGAGAGATGATGCGATACCCCCTGAGGACAATGTTTTCTCAGCTGGGATTCTCCAGCTGGAGACAACGCTACACACCCAGCGTCTCCACAGGCACTAGTCTGGGTATGAGTGCAGGCTCCAGCCCTTTCCCTCTGGGTGAGCTCAGGCAGGGCACTTCCCCGTCGGAGCACAGAGCCAGCACATTGCACAGACTCAGTGGGTGGGTCAGAGCTGGTGTCACCATCTCCGTGGGCTCCAGACCCAGGGCATCCACTCTATCCTGGGACAGGACCAGGGGTCTTCAGCTCTTGGCCACATCAACTCCCTGCTGCTCTCATTGTGAGAGGCACTTGCCATGGCCCTGTCTGCATGAGGGTCAAGACAGCCCATGTCAAAGTACATAAGACAGGGGAGAAAAAGGGAAGGCAAGGGAACCCCTACTCACCAACCACCTGCTGTATGCCACACATGGGGGCTGATTACTTTAAAGCCTCCTGCTCTCCTCATCCCAACAGGAATCTGTGAAGTCAGTATTCTCCCCACTTTACATATGAGAAAGCTGAGGCTCACAGGTAAAAGCGTGAAATGGAAATGGACACAGGCTTTGGACTCAGACAAACCTGGCCTTCAATCTGATTCCTTGTATCTGATCCTGGGCAAGTGATCCAACAGCCCTGAACCTGGGTTTTATCTATTTTTAAAAATTATTATGTATTATAATACATACATAATAATACATAATAAAAATTACTATATATACTAATGCCCACCATGACCACCAGGGTCATTGAGGGAACTGAATAAAATGCCCATAGATCCCCTAGCACAGTGCCAGGCACATAGCAGGTACCTAAAAAATAATAGCGACTGGGCGTGGTGGTTCATGCCTGTAATCCCAGCACTTTGGGAGGTCGAGGCAGGTGGATCACCTGAGGTCAGGCATTCGAGACCAGCCTGCACAACATGGTGAAATCCTGTCTCTACTAAAATTACAAAATTAGCCGGGCATGGTGGCGCATGCCTGTAATCCCAGCTACTTGGGTGGCTGAGGCAGGAGAATCTCTTGAACCTGGGAGGTGGAGGTTGCAGTGAGCCAAGATCGCACCACTGCACTCCAGGCTGGGCAACAAGAGCAAAACTCCATCTCAAAAAAAAAAAAAAAAAAAAAGACAGCCATTGCTACTAAATGCTACTATTACTATAGCAAGACTGATGAAGAAAAGTAACTAGAGGAGGAAAGGAAAGGAGGGAGAAGAAATGAAAAGGATAAGGAGAATAATTTGTTATGACAAAAATCCTCCAGTCATCCAAATAGTAAATTGGGAAGCCTGGATTTAAAAAACCAACCTGTCTTTTGTCTTTTCATGTAACACAAGACAGGTGAGAGCCAAGGGCTGAAGTGAGTTAGGGGACAGAGGGAATAACTGACTCCTTCAGGAAGCGCTCTTGAATTTTAGCTCAAAAGACACTTAGCAATTTGCAGTAGTTACCTGTTACTCCATAATAAATTACCCCAAAATATTAGTTGAGTGTGGTGGTGCACACTTGTAGTCCTAGCTACTCAGGAGGCTGAGGTGGGAGCATTGCTTCAGGAGGCTGAGCTGCAGTGAGCTATGATCATGCCACTGCACTCTGACCTGGGCAACAGAGTGAGATCCTATTTCTATAAAAATAAATAAATAAATCACCCTAAAACTTAGTGGCTTCAAGCAATAAACATTTATTTTCTGTCCATTTCTGTGGGTCAGGAATTCTGGAGTGGCCTAAGTAGTTCTGGATTGGGGTCTGTCATGAAGCTACAATCAAGATGTCAGCCAGTCCTGCAGTCTCATCTGAAGGCTTGACTGGGCTGGAGGATCCACCTCCAAGGTGGCTCAGTCACGGGACTGGCAGCTGGTGCTGGCTATTGGCAGGAGGCCTCTTTTCCAGAGCCTCTTCATAGAACTTCTTTAGCATCCTTGCAATATGGCAGCTAGCCTCCCCCAGAGTGAGTAATCCAAGAGAGCAAGGTGGAAGCTGCAATGTCTTTCATGACCTAGCCTCAGACACATACCATACCTTCTGCAGTATTTTATTAGCCACACCAACCAGCTGTGATTCAATGTGAGCGGATGCTACACAGGGCATGAATACTGGGAGGGAAGCTCCCTGGGGAGTGCCCCCACTCCGCGCCCCCCCCCCACCCCTTGCAGGTTGTCTACCTCACAATGCAGACCTCAGCACACCTGCAGCTCTTTCTTTAGTCTCTAGTTAATAAACACTCCTTCATTCATCCATCCATTGAGAAAACATCTCCTCATTCCTTTCTGCCATCAGCAAGTGCCTTCCTACCAAGGGCCTCCTCACAGCCAAACCCAGGCTAAGCACTGCCTTTCAGACCCAAATCTGACATGGTCACCAGAGCCTGTAGTCGGGACATGCAAATCAACACACAGCAAGCAGCCTATCATGAGCAAACACTTGGAACCTGGTTCCAAGCCAGGCTTCATTTGACCTTGATCACATTATCTCATCTCTCAGGGCCTCCGTAAAAAGAGATAAGACTTGCACTGCCCAGTCATGGCAAAAATATGTTAAAGTGCCCAGCACAAGGCAAGTTCTCAATAAATGATGACTAAGACTGTTAATATTACTATTCTAAACAAACAGAACTTGCACCCCCAAACCCGAACAGTCACACACCTAGGCTTCCCCCACCCTTCAAGAGAAGGCTGGGCTCTTGGACCCCAACGCTGGCCCCCAGTTCCTGCCAGCCACCTTCTCCAAGGCCTAGCTGAGCCTTGCCTTGGCTCTGCCTGCCAGAGCCTCCCCAGCTGCCAGCCCTAATCAGCCGCTCCAGCCAAGACCTCAAATTGATTTGCCATCGTTTAGCTGGGAAGCAAGAGCTCTTCTTGACTCCTGGCCAAAATCCATTCTGTGATAGCAGAGTAATCACCTCCATGGCGGGTGTCCGGAGAATGTGATAGAGATCTAGGACACAAAGTCTCCATCCTAACGCCCAGAACTCCAGCCTCGCTGCAGCACACCTCTGGTCTCCCTCCTCCCTCCTGCACCTGTGCGGCCACCATGTGTGTCCTCTGCAGTAGCATGTCCCCTCCTGTACTTTACGTGGTCTGATGCAGTAGCTCTAAAACTTTGCAGCACAGCAGACTAGCCTGGGGAAGCTCCAAAATATACTGAAGCCTGGCCCTGGCCCCCTGACAATCTGATTCAATTGGTATGGGGTGCATGCTGGGCATGGAGGTGCTTTTCAGTTAGTTTGTTTGTTTGTTTGTTTGTTTGTTTGTTTGAGACAGGGTCTCGCTCTGTCACCAAGGCTGGAATGCCCCATGGTGCAATCACAGCTCAGTGCAGCCTCGATCTCTTGGGCTCAAGCAATCCTCTTGCCTCAGCCTCCCTAGTAGCTGGGACTGCAGGCATGCACCATCAAACTCAGCTAAATATTGTTTTGTTTTAAGAGATGAGGACTTGTTGTGTTGCCCAGGCTGGTCTTGAACTCCTGGCCTCAAATGATCCTCCTGCCTCAGCCACCCAGGCATTGGGGTTTTTAATTAAGAGCTCTCTAGGGGGTTCTGATGGGCAGCAAAGTCAGGGAACTGCTAGTCTAAGGCATACAGCACTGCCACCCCTGGATGCGTGCACTCAGCATGACTCATTTAGTCACTCAACAATTATTTATTGAGCACCTACAATGGCTGAGCGCTGTTCTAAGGGCTGGAAATGCCACCAAGAACAAAGTCATTGCCTGCATAGACTCAACATTCTAGTCAAAGGCAGTGGCCAAGAAACAAGAGAATAAGTAAAATTTATAAGCTACTAAATAATAATAAATGCCGGCCAGGCACAGTGGCTCACGCCTGTAATCCCAGCATTTTGGGAGGCCGAAGCAGGCAGATCACCTGAGGAGTCCAAGACCAGCCTGGCCAACATGGTGAAACCCCGTCTCTACTAAAAATACAAAAATTAGCCAGGTATGGTGGTGCACACCTATAATCCCAGCTACTTGGGAGGCTAAGGCAGGAGAATTGCTTCAAGTGAGCTGAGACTGAGCCACTGCACTCCAGCCTGGGTGACAGAGCAAGACTCCATCTCATAATAATAATAATAATAATAATAATAATAATAAGTGCTTAAGAAGTCATGTGTGGCCAAAGTGGCTTTTGAATGACACCTGAGTCCCCCATATACCAGCTTATGGCATCTGCCCTGCCTACTGCTGGACAGATTCTGGTCCCTTACCTCAGGTCTAGACTGAGTCTCCACCTCAGCCATAGAGTGACGCCGACTCACACTGTACCCCCAACCCTGGCCACACACTCAGTCTTGACACCAAGCACAGAGTGAGGCTTAACCCTAGTGGCAGACCGAGCCCGAGGATGTGATAGTCTCTGACCATTTGCTTGGGCCCCAAATTCTCCCATGATCCCAGGTCTTATCTCCCAGCAGCACCGCATGCAGAGAACAAAGCTCCCTAATGCCTGTCTAGCCCTGCTGCCAATCCCAAACTTAGCTCTACTCTCCACAACTTTCCCTACAGAAAACCCACTGGGTTTTCTAAGGATTTTTACTACTGGTGTCTACAGGCACAAGAAAACAGATGGGCTAAACAGATGGGAAAAGCCTCCGAGTGGTAAGGTTTTCGAAGCTGGAAGGTCCCTTAGAGAGCATCCAACCTCACCCCCTTGCTTTACAGCAAGGCCCAGAGAAGTTCCTAAGTAACTTGCTCAAGGTCATGCAGCAAACCAGCAGCTAAACCAGAAATGGAATCCAGGTCGCCTCTCAGCCCAGTGTTCCCTCTCCTGCCTCCCTACAACAGAGTAGGGGGTATCGCCCATCTGGTAAAACAGCGCCCAGAATTTCCTCTGGGAACCCACTCCTCCTCTATTCTCTACCCATGATTTGCGTGAAATCCAATCCAATCTTCGGCAAGTGTTCCCCTGGTCCTGTGATTGGTTGGAAGCCAGACTCAGCACCCAATTGGGCAAGGCGGGGCCGGGAAGTGTGCTGAGACCGCAGTTCCTCCTCCTTGGTGCACTCAAAGCTGAGGACTGGGAGGCACGAGTGCTGCCTGCCTCACTGTCATCTCACGTGGGCTGAGGATGAAGCCAATCCCGGATGAGGAGGAAACATGTGCAATGAAGAGAAATGGAATTGTCGGGGCATCATCTGAACATCCACCAACCCATACCTGGAAGAGTTCCTCCCTCTGGCTTTTTTAGTTCCGTAAGTCAATAAAATCCCCTTGTACTTAAAGCCATCTGGGTTGGGTCGCTGTTGTGTGCAGGCCTGACCAATACCGAAGGCAAGCTCTTTCTGGCTCTCCCAGAACGGCACTTCCCTACATCAAACCGTCCCGCTCTCAGACCTCAACCATCTTTTTGCCCTTGGTTTCTCCCCACTTCTGGAGCTCCATGGAGCATGGTCCCTCCCCCGACAGGGCTCTGTCTTCTCCAGTGTCCCCCACATTGTGGCAGGCAGAACAATGCCCCTAACCCCCACAAAGATGTCCACATCCTAATGCCTAGAATCTGTGAATGTGTTCTTATCGTACGCAGCAAAGAGGAATTAATGCTGCAGATGCAATTAAGGTTTCTAATCATCTGATCTCAAAAGAGTAGATTATCCTGGATTATCTGATTGGGTGCAATGTAAACACCAATGTCCTTAAAAGTGGAAGAAAGAGGCAGAAGAGAGCCAGGGTGACAGCAGTGTCAGAAGGACGCAGCCCAACATTTCTGGCTTTAAAGACAGAAAGGGCCCATGAGCCAAAGAAAGTGGGCGGCCTCTAGAAGCGGGAAAAGGCGAGGAAACAGACTCCTCCTGAGAGCCTCCAGGAGGAACACAGCCCTGCCCACACCTTGATGTTAGCCCAGTGAGATTGAGTCTGGTCAGATTTCTGACCTCCAGAACCCTAAGAGAATAACTGTGTTGTTTCAGGCACTGCGTTTGTTACAGCAGCAATGGGAAACGGATATGATACTGGTACTCAACAGGGTGGTTAACAAACAATCCCCCTGAGGCCCTGGATCAGCACTAAGCACAGGCCTGACTCTGAGCTGGATGCCAGGAACAGCGAGATAAACAAGGCCCCCAGTGCCAACCCTCCAGGCTCTGGCAGTCAGCTGGGGCAGGGGCCAGATCTGCAGTAGACTCTGGCACAGCATGCTCAGTGCTGTAACGCAGGACCGCGCAGGATGCTGCCGGAGACCAGGGTAGAGACACCCAAACCTGCTGGGGGCATTTCCTAGAGGAGGCAGAAGCTGAGCTGACTCTCGAGTTAGCTAAGATTGAAAACCAAAAGCCAGGGGGTGGGGATGCAGGGCAGGCATCCCAGGCAGAAGGAGCTGCAGGAGCAGAGGCTCCGAGATTGGGGGAGCCAGCCCCCTGTGGGAACTGGAGGGTGCAAAGGGCTGCAGGGGGATGCGGAAGCAGAGGCTACAGCGGGGACCCGGCTGTGCGGGCCTGGAATGCCAGAATAAGGAGAGCGAACTTCAACCACAGGGCTGGGGGCCACTGGAAATATCAGGCAGGAAAGAGATGTAGACAGACAGCGGGACCAAAGTGAAGACTGTGAAATGGTCCAACAGGGAAGGGAAGGTGTGAGGTCTAGGGCTGTGAGGAAGGGAGTGGAGGGAGACACTGGAGAGCTGACATCCCTGCGGGGGGTAAGGAAAGAAACAGAGTTGAGGATGAGTCCAGTTTTCTGGCCTGGACTAGTGCTCTTCCTGAAGACAGGTGCCACGGAGGCAGAGCAGATTTGAGGGGAGGAGGAGAATGCAGGAGTCTGTGGAGCCTGGAAACACCCCAAGAGACACCCTGGAGACAGCTGCTCAGCAGAGAGGTCTGAGCTGTAGACAGGAATTCGAGTCACCACCGATGGCCGGGGAGCACATGGTGACGGGGAGAGAAGAGGCCAGGGGAACTGAGCCACCTAACAGATGTCCTTCCACATGGAACAAGGGAAAATGCTGTGGTCTGCAATATGGGAGCAGGAAGAGGCCCCAAAACTGCAAACAGAAATGGCAGGATTCTCAGAGACAGACAAGGCGGGGTGTGAGAGTCCAATGGACACCCCCAGCCCCCACCATGGAAGCCAAGGCCTCAGGATGGGGGTGCCCCTCAGAGGGGCCATGGGGACCAGGTCTGACATTAATCCAGCTCCCTGCCTGCATATAAGGATGCCCAAGACATCTGTGCTGCCAGGGGGTAGCCATGGTGACAGGTATAGGCCCTGGAGAAGCCCCAATATCACCTCTCCCCCAATCAAATGAGACCAAGGGGTTTCCTAGTCCAGGCAGAGCCAAGCCCCACCCCCTCAACACACAACTCCCACAGTTGGTTTTTCCCCTCCCACCAAGCTCTTCAACATAGGGAGTATTTAATAACTGGCTGCCAAGTCCCCTGGGGACAGGCTAATGAAGCTGCCTCCCTGCCTCCCACCTCGTCTGGGGCCTTGGCCCCCTCCCCACCTCTCCCTGCCTATTCTACCCCTCCCAGCTCTCTCCTAAACCTTCCACCTCCTCCTCTCTGAAGCAATGGGGACCCAAATTGCTTTAGATGAGAAAGGGAGGCAGAAGACGCAGGCCAGAAAGTAAAGTCTCCCTCTGTGCCTCCCGTTCCAGTGTCCTCAGAATATTTGCTGAGTGACTGTGGGACAAAGGCGCACCACCCACCTGCCATGTTTCTGGGGTGCTGCAGGCTGCAATTGGGTCTCTGGCCTCCAGCAGAAAAGGGGTCCCAGGGTGGAAGAAATGGTGCTTGTATGTCACATGGACTGGGGGGAATCTGGCTTCTCTACCTTCCAGTGTGTGACCGTGGTGGAAGTCTCCCAGTTTCCTAGAAGCTCAGTTTCCTCGTCTGCGAAATGGGAACAATACCCCCTCACACGGACAGGCTGGAAGGAGACCATGTATGTACAGCACCTGCCACAGGGCCTGATACGCAGAATGTTTGCAATAAATTATACGCCAGAATGTTTCCAATTGCACTCCTTGGCAAGGTGAGGTGTCCAATCAGGATGTGGCGGTTGCCCTGGAAACACAGGTTTCTCTACACAAAGGGTCAGCAGATGCCATGGGGACTAAGCTCACCTCTCTGGCTTCCCCTAGGCTGGTTTTGTCCCTCCAGGGGTTGGTACTAATTTCTAAAACCCCTTTCTTCCTCTTACTTAATCACTTCTAATCCCTTGAGGGCTTGATCAGGTGGAGTCTGTGGTTCAAGCTGGTGAGTTGCGGAAGCTCAGATCCTTCGTCACACATCCTTCCTCAAGATCACAATCAGGACAGTGTGGGGAGGAGACAGAAACGCTCCTCGCCCTGTCTGAGCAGTTCGCCGCGACCATGCCTGTTCCCTGACACAGCTTTCCACCGTCAGGATGGTCATTCTGCCTCTCAGGCGGGCTCCTCAGGCTGTGTGCCCTTCCCCCCTCCCCCAGCTCAGGAGCCTGATGCCTTTCTCAGCCCAGGCTCAAAGGAGATCACTGGGCAGCTCTGTCTCCTGAAGACCAGGCTGCAAACTCCTCTGGGGTTCTGTGAAGGACACCGGCTGAGCATGCTGGCCTTCTCTCCTTCTTCTAAGAGCAGAACCCCAATATTATTTTGAGGGACCACCCTTCTCTACTCTCAACCCCTGTTCTGGCTCCGCTGGCCAACTTCAAAGGTGAATCAGGATGGGTTCAAGGATGATCCCATGAAGCAGCTATGACCAGTAAGAACCCCATCTGAAATGCTCACGAGAACCACTGGGAAAGCAGCTGCCCCTCCCTCCCCTCCCCTCCCTTCCCCAGCCCTCCCCTCCCCTCTGCTCTGGCTAAATGGCTACATACAGGTCTGGAGCTGCCAGTGTTCCTCCTGCCACCTTCTAGGGAGGGCCCACTTGAGAAGGACGTTCACACAGGGGAGAGCAGAGCTGAGTGCTGGTGGCAGTCACGTGTTTGGGTCTTTGAGTGCCAGAGTTGCAGCAGGAGTGAGTCTTGGGAACAGGAGCGCTCATTTCGCTCATTTTGAGGCGAGCTTTGACCACCAGGCTCAGAGTCACACAGAACTGGGTGTGAGTCCCAGTTGTGCATTCTGCATGCCTGACCTGTGTGAGATTCAGTTACATCCTCTAGGGCTAATTTAATATAGGGTTAATACCTGAAAGCAAGCCAGGAGATCCAACATTATTTCCTTTGAGGGAATGTACTACTCCAGCTTCTCCACTTTGCAAACTCCTACTTGGCCTTCAAAACCCCATTCAGTGTCACCTCCAAGCAGTCAGATTCTCTCTGCCACGCCCCCACATAGAATGAATGCTTACTATACGCCGGGCATTGTGTTGTTGCATTTCATCTGCACAATGACCCTGAAAGGTGGGGACTAAAATATCACAGTTTTGCAGATGAGGCACCAGAAATGTAAAGAGTTTAATTAACTGGCCAGGGACAGTGGCTCACACCTGTAATCCTAGCACTTTGGGAGGCCAAGGCGGGTGGATCACTTGAGGTCAGGAGTTCGAGAGCAGCCTGGCCAACAAGGTGAAACCCCATCTCTACCAAAAAATATAAAAAATTAGCCAGGCGTGTTGGTGTGCACCTGTAATCCCAGCTACTCGGGAGGCTGAGGCAGTAGAATCACTTGAACCCAGGAGGCAGAGGCTGCAGTGAGCCGAGATTGTGCCACTGCACTCCAGCCTGGGCAACAGAGTGAGACTCTGTCTCAAAAAGAAATCAAAGAGTTTAATTAACTTACCCAAGATCATACCCTCCATTCTGGTCTTATAATTGTCCATTTTGCCTCATTTTGCTCTCTCCTCCACAAAACTATGAACTCTCTGGACCTTGTTTATCTCTGCATCCTGCCTCTCAGGCGAGCTCCTTGGGCTGTGTGCCCTTCTCCTACCCGAGAGCCTTTACGCCAGATGGAAGCATGTACACACATGCCAACCACCAAGAGAAACTCGGAAGTCCCTCTTTCCATTCACCCACCCTCTCGGCCCCAGCCTGCATCCCCGCCCTTTAAGAATGCCCCGGGACATAGAAGAGAGGCTGAATTCGAATGCCCCCAGGAACCTACTAGGCATGCAGAGAAAGCTGGTGTGGGGAGGCTCCCCTTAATGGAGAACCCAGCCCTTCTGAAGGGCCAGCTTCTGTCTATGGATTTGGAAATCTCTTCCAAACGCATCATTAAGTATCAAAGCAAAGACAGAGCCTATTATAAATGAAAGACAGTTGAGGGAATATCTATTCATATTTATTTTTACCTGCATTAAAAAAAAAAACCCTGAAAGGATGCACAAGAAACTCAAATAAGGGTTTCTTTGTGGTGGGGGGTTGAGACCAGTGAATGGTGGCAGGTGTAGGAGTTGGAGATTTCATTCTATACTGTTGTGTATTGTTTTGATTGTTGAACCCTAAGATGTATTATTTATTTGATATAAACATTAAAATTTGTAGATAACAGAAGAGGAAAGCCCCACTCCCCTCCAGCTGACTAACGCTGTGCAGAGATGCGGGCCCTGTGTGGCTGGAGTTTGCAGTTACTCAGAAGAAACCAGAATACAGGAGCTTAATGTGAAATAGCTGGATTTTTTAAAACACGTCTTCTCATTATTTTTTATTGTGGCAAAATCCATATCAATAACATTTCCCATCTTACCCATTCTTAAGTGTACACTTCAGGGGCATGAAGTACATTCACACTGTTGTGCAGCCATCACCACCACCCCTCTCCAGAACTCTTTTCATCTTGTTAAGCCAAAACCCTGTGCCCCTTAAGCACTAGCTCCCCATTCGCCCCCTCACCTCAGCCCCTGGCACTCACCTTTCTGCTTTTTTTTTTTTTTTTTTTTTTTTTTTTTTGCTTTTTTTTGAGACAGTCTCGCTCTGAAACCCAGGCTGGAGTGCAGTGGTGTGATCTCGGCTCACCGCAACCTCCGCCTCTAGGGTTCAAGCAATTCTCTTGCCTCAGCCTCCTGAGTAGCTGGGATTACAGGCACCCGCCACCAGGCCCGGCTAATTTTTTTATTTTTAGTAGAGACAGGGTTTCACTATGTTGGTCAGGCTGGTCTCGAACTCCTGACCTCGTGATCTGCCCGCCTCGGCCCCCCAAAGTGCTGGGATTACAGGCATGAGCCACTGCACCCAGCCCTGCTTTCTGTCTTTGTGATTCTGACTCCTCCAACTACCTCATGCAAGTGGAGTCATACAGTATTCGTCCTTCTGTGTCTGGCTTGTTTCATGCAGCGTCATGTCCTCAAGTTCCATCCAGGCTGCAGCATGTGCCATGATTTTCCTCCCTCCTAAGGCTGAATCATACTCCATGTGTGTATGTGCACATTTGGTGTCTGTCATGGACCCTTGGGTTGCTTCTGTGCTTTCACTATTGTGAACAGTGCTGCTGTGAACCTGAGTGGACAAATGTCTCTTCAAGTCCCTGCTTTTATTTATTTATTTATTTATTTATTTATTTATTTATTTATTTATTTTTGAGACAGAGTCTCACTCTGTCTCCCAGGCTGGAGTGCAGTGGTGCAATCTCAGCTCACTGCAACCTCTGCCTCCCTGGTTCAGGTGATTTCTCCTGCCTCAACCTCCTGAGTAGCTGGGATTACAGGCACGCACCACCACACCCGGCTAATTTTTGTATTTTTAGTAGAGATGGGGTTTCACCATGTTGGCCAGGCTGGTCTCAAGCTCCTGACCTCAAGTAATCCACCCGCTTTGGCCTCCCAAAGTGCTGGGACTACAGGCGTGAGCCACCACGCCCGGCCAAGTCCCTGCTTTTAATTCTTTTGAGTATATCCCCAGAAGTGGAATGCTGCCTCATATGGTACTTCTATTTTTAACTTTCTGAGAAAGTGACATGCTGTTTCCCCAATGTTTAAATGTTGATAATTACTGTATTTCACCAATACTAAGCAGTACATATTTTCACATATTAAAATCACTGAAATTGGGGGCCATCTTACAATTGCTGGATGTCAGAGTTTGTGAGCTTTATTTCCTTGGTGGTAGGTAAAATAGAGGCTTACCTTGCAATCAGTGTCACAGTAGATTTGATGAAATAGTACAGAAATGGTAATGTAGATAAATGTTTTTAAACATTTGCAGCCCAAAGAGAGCACCCCCTGAGAGCCAGACAGACCCAGGGACTGCCGGCTCAGGCTGGGGCTGGCTCCTCTTCAGCCCCCCAGCTCCCTGCTGCCTCATCCCATGGAGCACTGTGTGGCCCAGTCCTCAGCCATCTATCCTTCACAGGGGAGAGGCTCAGATACCACCACCAGGGCCTCACACTGGGGCCGGCAAAAGTAGATGCTAATAATGCGTATTGAATGGAGGAAGCCAGGCAGAGGAATGATTTTGAGACAAATTAGAGTCAGACGTGGCCTCGTGGTCCACCTGGACTCAGTCTTGGGGCCAGGGGCAAAGGTTCACTGCCCAGGGCTGACCGAGCAAAGGATCTGCAGCCAAGAAGTCATTCAAGAAAACCAGGTTTCCAGAACCCATGGGCCAAAAGACAGTGACTGTCTGACGGGGCTTTGAGAGATCAACAGCTTAAGCCAAAAGAGAAAGATGTTTTGACACAGACCAAAAATCCTGGGGGTCTTGCCCCAGGGAAAGTCAGAGACGCAAACCCAGTCCCTAGGGGTCCCAGACCCTTTGTGCAGAGAAACCCACGTTTCCAGGGCAACCACCGCCTCCTAAGTAGGCAATCTCATCTGCCAAGGAATGCATCTTAAAATATTCTCATGTTTAATATATTGAGAACAAACAGTGCACCAGGCCCCATGCCAAGGGCTTCATGAGCTGTCACTTAATTCGCACAGGGAGAATCCGGTCCCCTCTTCAGATCTGATGCCAGCGGGGTTCTCAGGCTCAGAAGCCTAACCCCAAGGTCACACATAATTTCATCCAAGTCTGTCTGACCCCCTGATTTTTTCCCATTTCCCCAGGAAGCTGGGGCCCCTTTGATGCTGGACCCACTCTGATATACCCCAGAAACACGGTCAGTGGGCCATGCAGTGTGTCTCCAGGCAGCCACACAGACACGTGTCACATGCGATCACGTGAGCCACATTCCTGAATTTAGCACACGCCCCCACACAGCCGACCAGTCCCATGCCCCTTCGCCCTCTCGATGGAATGGGGAGGGCTCCCAGGTGGAGGGAAGTGGTATCTGGTTTTTGCCAGCATCTGCCCTCCTTTATTTTGCTCACGGCATCTCAGTTTCCCTTCAGGAAACCTCCTTCCCCAGTTCCCATGGAGAGGGGCTGCCCTCATCCCCCCAGGTCTAGGGATGAGCCCATGTCCCAGGCCTGGCCCATGGGTGTCTGCCCCTGGGGTTTATCCTAGAGCTATTCATTGCTGGGTGTGGGGCCCAACCTTTCTGCCAGTGTTGCTGAGCTGGCAGGCTGTGGGCCTGGAGCTGTTGGGGGCAATCTTTAACTTCAGTAGGGAGATTGCCTGGGAGTGAGGCCAATGCCGAGGAATTAGAGATGGAGAGACAGGTGTGTCTGTGGAGATGGAGATGCAATCTCCCTGAGGACATACTTTGAGGAGAGGGAGATGCAATCCACCCTGAGGACATCCTTTGAGCTGCTGAATCTACCCATTCCTGATGCCATCTTTCTAACTGCATGAACAAGTAAATTCCTTTCATTACTTAGATTATTTTGAGTTGAAGTCTTACCACTTATAAATATCCTCAAAAGGCCAGGTGTGGTGGCTCACGCCTGTAATCCCAGCACTTTGGGAGGCCAAGGCAGGTGGATCACTTGAGGTCAGGGGTTCAAGACAAGCCTGGGCAACATGGTGAAACCCCATCTCTACTAAAAATACAAGAAATTAGCCGGGCATAGTGGGGTACCCCTGTAATCCCAGCTACTCTGGAGGCTGAGGCATGAGAATCACTTGAACCCAGGAGGCAGAGGTTGCAGTGAGCCAAGATCATGCCACTGCACTCCAGCCTGGGCAACAGAACGAGACTCTGCCTTAAAAAACAAACCAACCAACCAAAAAAAAAACCTCAGAAAACTACCTATAAAGTATGTAATAGCTATCATTTGCGAGTCCTTATCAGTTAACCAAGTGTTAGCTAAGGACATTTATCCCTATTTCACAGAGAAGTGAACTCAGGTGTTAGGTGGATACTGCGATGCACCACTCAGGTTCCCCTTCAGAAATAAAGGACCTATTACCCCAGCTGTAGGAAGTGCCACCATCAGACAGCCCTCAGCTATCCGCACCTTCAAGGGTTGCCTCCACAGGAAAGGGCCACCTCACCTGGGCCACACACTGTTCCCAAAACTGCCCGCATCCAGTGACTGATCAACATGGCGCTACAAAGGCCAGGCCCTCTTGCTCCAGTGAGGACAGCTCCAAAGGCTCCTACCACCTTCGGAGCTCCCAGCGAGCCAGCAGAGGCTGCCATCCTGTGTTGCAAATTGATTTCCCTCCTTACCCAGTCCTGCTTCTCGCCCTTTCCTTCCACAGGTGTTGATCCCAAAATTAACTCTCCATAAATATCCTGCATGCTGAACTTCATCACAGTCTTTTTTCCAGGAACCCAACCTGTTACAGTTGGTGCTGAACATGAGTCAGGAAAGCAGACACTGGGGTGGAGAGGTTGGAGCTGAACCACCTGCTGCTCAGCTGGCAATGAGACGCCTGGCACCGATCGCCCCTGGCCCAGGTGATGAAGGATGCTGGACTTGTGAAAGAAATTCATTAACTGGTGTGATGTGTCAGTGTGACAGATTTGAGAAAGACGGGGGTGGAGGGTCGGGGGGCGGAAGTAATATAACAGTTGAACTGGGTGGCTATTGTTAAACCCACTTGATCTGGAAAGCAATAACAAAAAGCTAAGCGTGATTAATCAGCAATTAAAGGCTAACGTGAAAGCCAGAGGCCCTTCTGTTGGCGTTTAAAGAGGCTCTCATCTGCACCAGGAGGACGGAGAAAGCAGAAACCAGGCTCAGGATCCACAGAAGATGCAACTCCAACCAAGGCAGGTCTACTGTGCCAAGGCCAGGGCCCTGGTTAGAAGAGAGCGCAACCCTGTGGCCTGCCACAGTGGCTCACACTTGTAATCTCAGCACTTTGGGAGGCCGAGGTGGGTGGATCACGAGGTCAGGAGTTAGAAACCAGCCTGGCCAACGTGGTGAATCCCTGTATCTACTAAAAATATGAAAAACCAGCCTGGCCAACATGGTGAATCCCTGTCTCTATTAAAAATATGAAAATTAGCCAAGTGTGGTGGCATGCACCTGTAATCCCAGCTACTCAGGAGGCTGAGGCAGGAGAATCACTTGAATCCGGGAGGCGGAGGTTCCAGTGAGCTGAGATCGCACCACTGTACTCCAGCCTGGGTGACATAGCGACACTCTGTCCCCCCACCCCTTGCCAAAAAAAAAAAAAAAAAAGGAGAGAGACAGAGAGAGTACAACCCTGACACACAGGCTGGGAACATTTAGGTTGAGGTCTCTACAAACGATGGACTCTCTATATCCCCACTGAGCCCTCTGAGCTGGCAGGAATGCCACCCCTGCCGCTAAGGGCTGGCACTCCCTCCCTCCTTGCCTGGACACTGTGCAGAGGCCTCTCCCCAGCCAGACAACACGTCCCCGGCTCAGGCTCTGCCTCGTCTGTCCTCCTGGTCATTAGGCCAATGACTAGGATGAAGTCACAACAGCAACCAGCTGTGGGCATGTTGAGCCTGGTGAGGAAAGATGGGGCTATACCCCAAAGGAGCTGTAGGACCTACCCAGCACAGGTCTGCAGGAACATGGGATTGGAATCCAAGGGTGTCTGGTCAAGGAGGTCAGAAGGTAAGGTTAGATAAGGGAGTATTTATCAACTTGGGAGAACTCTCCCAGGATACAGGATTTAATACTCTCACCAGTGTCCCAGGAGATGGTGCAAACTCACTACAGATGGTTCCTAGAAACATGGGAAAAAGCAGCGGCCAACATGAAGTGAGAACTGCTGGAGCAGACGGTAGGCCCTTGGCACTTAGGCTCAGAGAGGTGGGCCCACCAGAGGAGGTGTGCCATGTAAGGCTGGAACTCCCAGAGGCCTGTGCTGCACACAGGACCCAGATGATAACCCACTTACCAAGGATGTTAGGAATGGATCACTTAGAAATTCAGTGATGGCTCCTCTCTGGGGACCAGGGCTGGCAGGAGGAATTGCCACTGTACAACCAGGCTTACTCACAGAAATGATCCCAAGGACCTTGGAAAACTAGAAGCCATCTACCTTAGTGCTGCTGTAACAAAATGCCATAGGCTGGGTGGCTTATAAAGAAATTTATTTCTAACAGTTCTGGAGGCCGGGAAGTCCAAGATCAAAGTAGATTTGGTGTCTGCTGAAGGCCCACTTTCTGGCTCATAGATGGTGCCTTCTCACTGTGTCCTCAGAGTGTAGAACAGGCAGGGCAGCATGCTGGGACATCTTTTCATTAGGGCACTAGTCCCATTCATGAGGCTCCATCTTCATGACCCAATCGCCTTCCAAAGGCCCCACCTCCTGATACCCTCACATTGGTGGTCAGGTTTCAACGTATGAATTTTGGGGAGACACCAACATTCAGACCATGGCACCATCAGAAGGCAGGAAGATGTCATTGTGGTGAGTGGTAGGGTAGAGAGGAGGCCAGGGGAGCCTGACCTACAGAGACCTGTGGAGTGAATAGAACTTGGCACCCCTAGGGGCCACATAGATATGGAGCCAATAAGGATACTACTGTATCTGCATAATCAAAAACAGCACGGATGGATGGCTGGGAAGCTAAGGACAGTCACCTTAATTTAAAAAAAAGTAAAAATCCCTTCCGCAATGTCCATCCCTGAGCAAGTTCTTGGACGTGGAAACTTGATAGACAGAAAGCCTATGTCCCCAGGAGGAAGAACCCCATGACTGCACACAGCGAGGATTCCTCCATTTCTTCCCAGCGTTACTCAGATAACTGTGTACTGGGGAAGGGGAAACCCAGAGCATTAGCATGGCCCCTCCTAAGGGAGCCAGGTGATAAATGGAGTTCTAGCTTAGGTCCAGCTCACCCACAGTCCATGGTCCCACCGTCAGTGGTCTCCAAATGTATAACTGTAATTGACATACTTAGTAATTGACACAAGCCCTTTATCCTGTGAGGTAAGAGCTATCATAGTGGGGAAATCCAAGTGGAAGCCTCTGAAACTCCCCCTTCTGGCCAAGATGGCAAATTAAAAAGCAGTATTACATCCCAGGGGATGGCAAAGATGAGTGCTGTTCTTAAAGATCTAAAAGATGCATGGATGATCATTCCTATTATAGTCCCATTTAATTCACCAGTCTGTTCCCCATGGAAACTACCAGAAGTGCAACAACTAGTAGCCCCATTGCAGCTTCCTTGCTAGGTGTGGTATTGCTGCTAGAGAAGATTAATATGAATTCAGGGAGCCAGGCAAAGTGGCTCATGCCTACAGTCCCAGCATTTGGGAGGCTGAGGTTGGTGGATCATTTGAAGTCAGGAGTTTGAGACCAGCTTGGTCAACATGATAAACCCCATCTCTGTTAAAAATACAAAAACTGGCCAGGCATGGTGGCTCATGCCTGTAATCCCAGCTACTCAGGAGGCTGAGGCAGGAGAATCACTTCACCTGGGAGGCAAAGGTTGTGTGAGCCAAGATCGCGCCCCACTGCACTCCAGCCTGGGTGACAGAGTGAGATTCCGTCTCAAAAAAAAATTGAATTCAGGTACATGTTATGAAGCCATTAATCTGGTGAATATGTTCATTTCCATCTCAATCAAGAAAGAGAATCAGAAAGAGTTCACATTCACATGGAAGGGACAACAGTATACATTCACAACTTTCATCAGAGCTCTGTCATGACCATCCAAAAAGATCTGGATCATCGGACATCCTGCAGAACATCACACTGATCCAGTACACTGATGTCATCATGCTGATCAGGCAGATAGACAAGCAGTACCTAGCATGCTGGAAGCCAAAGGGTGAGAGAGAAAACTACTGAAGATCGAGAGGCCACCACATTAGTAAAATTTCTAGGAATTCAATGGTCTGGTGAATACTGGGACATACCTACAAAGCAAAGATAAATTATTTAATCTTTTACCTCCCACCATGAAGAAGAAATCCTAACACCTGATAGGTAGATCTGGAGGCAACATATTTCATAGCTAGGAATACTGCTCCAACCCCATATGCCAATGCCATGAAAGGCTGCCAAGGCCCAGAGCAAGAAAGGATTCTGCAAAAGTGTCAGGCTGCTAGAGCCATCAACCCCATCCCTTGACTTGAGCCATACAGTACTCAGCAGACCCTATGGTGTCAGCCATGTGAGTGATAGGAAGAGATGCCAGTGAAGAATGCAAGCTCCAATGGGAGAATCCCTTAGGATCTGGAGACTCCCTAAAATTTGGGAGTGAATTACAATTAGCAGCAAAGGATTATTCACCTTCTGAAAACAGGTCCTGGTGTGCCTGTGCTACTAGCCCTCATGTGACACACAACACCCAGACATGAGACACCGAGTGATCAGGCAGCTGGAACTGCCTGTCATGAGCTGGGTCTGCCAGACCCAATCAATCAATCTAACATGGTGGGGACATCCCGGGTCAAACATGAGCACGCCTTGAGGACACCAGCAAGCTACACGGCAGGTAGCCCAGACCCCACATCATCCCCACTGAGGCACCAGCAGCCTCAGCTCATTCGAATGGCCACATGGGGGACTCCCATGTCACCAGCTGAAGAGGATAAAACTGAGATTGGTTTGGCTTGGCATGTGGCAGATGACTACACTGGACCCTCTCCTGAAAGATCAGGAATAGAGACCAGTTCCACATAGAGATTTGCCTTTCCTGCCCATGGATTCTCTGCTCAAGGGTCTATGAAGTGTTTGATTCACTGGCACACGATGCCACATAACATCACTTCTGACTCAACAGCCCATCTTATAGCAATAACCCTGCAGGGGCGGGAGTGGGCTGGCCCATGACCAGGGATCCACTGTTAATACTGCACACCACATGACCCCAAAGCTGCTGGCCCGATGGAGACAGAGCTGCAATGCCAGTTCAGAAACAAGCCTTCACAAGGTTTCAGTACCATCCTCCAAGATGCAGTATCACTTCAAATCAAATACTATATATGGCACTGCATCCCCACTGGGCAGAATACACGGGTCTAGGAACCTAGGGGTAGAAGCTTAAGCGGCCCAGTGGCCCACTTAAAGAATTTGTGCTTTCTGTCCCTCAACTCTGGGTTCCGTAAGTTTAGAGGTCCTTGTTCCCAAAGAGAAAATACTTCTGCAAGGTGGCACAGCCAGAGTCCCTCAAAGTCGAAGCACAGTCGCCTCCTTGGCACTCTGGGTTTCTTGTCCTTGCATCAAGGGGCCAGCGGTAAGAAGAGGAGTCGCATCCTGGCATCCAGAAGCGGTTGCATATGGGGTCTGGGAGGAATATGTTTGACATCCAGGCGATGCCCTTGGGTGCTTCTTGGTACTCCCTTGCCCAATTTTGATGTTAAGTTGACAAGTGTAGCAACCCTGGCCTGAAAATAGCATGGTGACCAGGGTCTCAGTTCCCTCAGGTAATCAGGAGACCAACAGAGATGTCGTCTGAGAGTGAGGTGGTCTATAATGGGTAGTGGAGTGGGCAGGTGAGGATGTCAGTTGCAGCCCTGAGACCCCAAAACTTCAGAGGTAGGGGTTGGAGTTCATCCCAGTAATTTTCCTCTTCAAGTTGCCTCCTAGAAGAGCTTCTCACAGAACTTACATGAAGTGGATCCAAGAGGTGACTGTGAAGGACTCTGTAAGGTGCCACCCAGGTCCCTCTGCAGGAATAAAGGACTTATTACCCCAGCTGCTGGGAGTACTGCCTGCAGAAAGTTGACAGCCCTCATGCTCCATTCCCAGGGAGGCCTACATCCAATGACCCAATGTGGGGTCACTGGCACCAATGTGGGGTGCCAAGTACCCGAACTTTTGCTTTGACTCGGGACAGTCCTGAGGGGTCATCCCATCCTCAGGCCAGCTGAGCCTTCTGCTGAGATAGCATCATAGGTCAGCCTCCCCCTTTGCCCAAGCCTGCTCCTCCCCACTCCCTTCCAATGGTATTGACTTCAGGAGCACTGGCCAATGAGCCCCCACACACTTCATCTCAGAGACCTGCCCAAGCTCATACTCAGACCTGAAGTGGCAGAAACAAACCTCAGACTCACTGTGGCTGTCCAAAGCCCAGAGATTGGAAAGGTTAGCACGTGCAGGACTCAGAAGTGAGAAACAGAGCAGATACCTTGGATGCAATGAAGATTTGAACTCCATACAAGGAATGATAGTCTAATTACCTTAGGCTGCTTGTGATGTTGCTCAGTTTCTGCTCACAGGATGGGGAAGGGGAGATATTCCAGAAGAACAGAGCAGCCCCCTCACCCATCTCAGGCTTGGGGGTCATTCAGATCTGAGAATGTCAGAGCTTTCACTTCCTAGCTGTGGGGACTTGAGCAAACCGCTCCACCTCCCTGAGCCTCAGTTTCCCCCACTCCAAACTGGAGCCAATAAGATGCACCTGTGATTCTTGCGTAGATCACATTTGCAGGGCTCCTCGTGCACAGAAATCTCTCGGTAAATGTGGCCATTATTATTCAAGAGCCGAGGAGCTAATTAGCCTCGCTGCTGATGCAACAGGAATTCACAGCGCGGGGACTGGCCTGCTGAAGGGAGGACGAGGCTGGAACATCTCATTTTGACAAATGGCTTTTGTTTACCCACGACTGGCAAACAAACGCTCCACGACGTGCGGCTAATCACCTAAAAATAACAGCACATATGTTCCCTCTGAGGAGTGTTCCTTGCTAACAAGCACAGTGGCTGTGGGCTGCTGGGGGTGGGGTGGGGACACTCTGCACTCCTCTGAGGCAAATTCAAAAGCCTCTCTCTCTGCCCCCAGCCGTCCTCCTGCACCCCACATCCATCCTGCTGCCCAGCCCTGTCCGCAGCGCCACACACAAACCACCCTCCCTTGTGTCTCCCTGCACCACCCCCCGACCAAGTCCCCGGCTGCTGTGCTGGGGCAGGGCTGGTGCCACAGTCCCCTTTCTGCCCTCCTGGCCTTGCTCCATCCCCTCCACCCTGCCCCGGAGGCACCCTTCTAAAACACACACATCTGACTAGTCACTCCCCTTCTCGGAACTCCTCATGGCTCTCTCTGCCTCCAGGCCATGCTAGTCTCATTTCCCACACTACCTGGGCCTGACCATCAGTGTGCACCAGGGCCTTCCAGCCTCCAGGCCTCTGCAGATGTTGGAGTAGGGCTGCTTCTCTACCTACACACCTCCTCCACCCTCGGGCAGGTGCTCAGCTCTAAATGACATCCAAGCTGATGACGAATGAATGAGTTCTCTCTGAACTCCTGCCCACTGCATGTCTCCTCCTGGTTGTCCAGTGGGCATCTCTGAACCGTGTCCAAAAGCACACGCGAACACACACACACACACGATCCTCCTGCAATCTTATTGGTTGCTCAGGCCAAAAGCCTTGGAGTCCTCCATGTCCCCCACCTGCCATCCCACAACCAACCCATTAGCAAATGGGGTCAGCTGTCTTCAAAACACACGCAGACTCCCCTCAGCACCTGCACACTGCCTCCTGGCGCCTCCATCCCACCTCTCACCTCCAGCGGCTCCCCCCTCTTGCCAGCCACAGTCCGCTCACACCCCAGGACCCTTTAAAACTGGTCACGCCCCGTCTCTCCTGCACCCCAAAGCTTCCAGTGACTTCCATCTCAGAGTAAAGCCAAAGTCTTGTAGAGGCCACAGCTAGGGTGGCCAGATTTCACAAACAAAAAGGCAGGATGCCCGTTAGGTTTGAATTTCAAGGACATGTTAAGTGAAATAAGCCAGACACAGAAAAACAAATACCACGTGATCTCACATGGACATGCGAACTCTGAAAAAGCCAAATTCATTGAAGCAGAAAGTAGAATGGTGGTTACCAGAGGCTGGCGGACAGGGAGTGAGAATTGGGGAGCTGTGGGTCAAAGGACACAAAGTTCCAGTTAGGGAGAATAAGTGAAAGAGCCCCATGGTACGTCGTGGCAGCATAGCTAATGACAGTGTACTGCATTCTTGAAAATCGCTAAGAGTAGATTTTAAGTGTTCTCACCACAGGAAAAAAAAAACAAGGTGGGAAGTAATGCATATGTTAATTAGCTCAATTTAGTCATCCCATAAATGTATACATATTCCAAAACATCATATTGTAGGCCATAAGAATATGCAATTTTTATTGGTCAATTAAAACAATGTTTTAAAAAGAAGAAAGGGATATTAGGAACTAAAAATCTTTTTTTGAATTTCAGAGAAAGGCAAACTTGCGTGGGACACACTTATACTAAAAAATTATTTGCTGCTTATCTGAAATTCCAGTGTAACTGGGCATCCTGTAATTTTCCAGCAGCCAGACCTACAAAGCCTGAGATGACCGGGGACACCCCCGCACCCCATCGTACCTCACGCCCCCCACCTCCCCTGCAGCTTGGGTGTCCTGCTTTTCCCGGAGCCCAGAGAGAGTTCCTCCACTTCAGGAATGCGTCCCGCCATCCCCTCTGCTCCTGGTATCCCTGTGGGCCACTCCCCTGGCCCCTGCAGATCTCTGCCCAGATGGCGTCTCTCGCCGAGGCCTGTCCTGACCAGCCAGTACAAAACAGCAGCTCTGCCACTGCCCCCTCACTGCTCGGTGGCTTCTATGCCCTTCCACCAGAAAGCCGTCTCCTTGAAGGCAGAGTTTCATCTCTGCCGTCCACAGCTGTGTCCCCACACTGAGGACAGTGCCTGGCATGTAGTAGTTAGTCAATAAATATTTTTCAAATAAATGATGTCCCTACTGCCCCACCCCAGGCCACCGGCAAACTCCTTAAACCACAAGGACAGCTTTGTGGCCTCTCCTCTGCAAAGCTCTCCCTGACCACACGCGTGTCCTCCAGGCAGGAAGAGCCTCCTCACTAGCCGAAGAGTCCCTCCGAGGTAGCGATGGTGTCCCATCCACCTTTCTATCCCCAGTGCCACATCGATGCCAATGTGAGAGGTGCTCGGTACACGTGTGAGTGGATGACTCAATGAATGAATATCTGAGTGAGTGAAGAAATGACGAGCATAGGAACCAAGCAAAACTCTATCTCTAAGGCTCCCTGCGGGAGCTGGTTTGATTCCTGTTGCCCCTAAAGAAAGACTTTTGATATTTATCCCCACTCGGTAAAGAACAATGAAGAAGGAGGAGATGGTGAAGATGCCCTTCGCTCCCCTCTAGTCCACATTCTACAAAATGTGTCCACCTCATTCCATGATCCTCTCACCAGCCTGAGAGGCAGCTATCATCACCCCATAGTTGAGATGAAGAAACACAGAGGCCCAAAGACAGGAAGCGAGTTGCTGGAGCCACAGGGAGAGGGGAGAGGAGATGCAGCTGGGACCCGGCCCCAGCCCATCCAGCCCTGAAGGCCTCCATGCCTCGCTGCCTCTCCAGCCTGCCCAGGGTTTCGGTGACTCAGTGACCCATGCAGGCCCCCCAAGCAGGGAGGAGGGAGAAGTCAGGTTGCACAAGAGGACAGGGACCCTGCCCAAGGCAGAGCTGCTTTGCCCCCTCTTCCCCTCAGGCATCCCGGGGACCCGGCCTGGTTGTCCACCCACATATGCACGGCTCTCTCTGTCTTGGACCACGGTACCATCACCCACACCAGCTTCTGAGCCAGCCCTCCATAGGCGTCTGCCCTGAATCATTGCATTTGTCTCAGAAGATTTTTGATATTAATGTCATTCTGCACTAATGAGTCCAGCCCACTTGGTCCCAGCTGGAGCTTCCATTGTCTGCTGATTAATTGGTACAGAACTCTGGGGGGTAGCAGGGGGGAGGTGGGGGAAGAGAAAGGGAGAGAAGAGCCATTTCCAGAGCAGAAATAGGTTTCCTCTGCTCACCAGTGATTATTCTCCTTATCCTGAAGCCTTCAGCTAGGTATGGGGCAGAAACTAGAGGGCCACTCCCTCCTCAGCCACTTAACTGTCCCGCTTCAGGAAAAGTGAGACCCATGGATACTGTCCCAGCGTACGAAGGTAGGTCTGGAGGAAAGCACAAGTTAAGAACTGGTAGACTTGAGCCAGTGCAGTGGCTCACGCCTGTAATCCTAGCAC